>NC_000006.12:162798062-162949577 GCF_000001405.40 Homo sapiens | reverse complement strand
GATCAAGCTAGGGTATTTATAGTATCTAGCACCTCAGAGATACATCATTTCTATGAGTTGAGAGTATTTCAACTGCTCCCTTCTAGCTCCTTTGAGATATACAATACACCGTTATTAACTATAGTCACCCTACTCTGCTATTGAACATTACACTGTATTCTTCCTGTGTAATTGTACAGACCCATTAAACAACCCCTTCATTCCTGCCCAACTACCTGCACATCCTTCCCAGTCTCTGGTATCTATAATTCTACTCTTTACCTCCATAAAACCAACATTTTTTAAGCTCCCACATATGAGGGAGAACATGCACTATTAATTTTTCTGTGACTGGCTTATTTCACTTAACATAATGACCTCCTAGTCCTCCATGTTGCTGCAAATGACATGATTTCAATTTTTTTAAGGCTGAATAGTATTCCACTGTATTCCATGTATATGTACTACATTTTTAAAATGCATTCATATACTGAGGAATAATTAGGCTGATTCATAGCTGTTGTGAGTAGTGCTGCAATAAAGATGGGGTGCAGATATCTTTTTGATATACTGATTTCCTTTTTTTTGGATAAACACCGAGTAGTAAAATTGCCATATCATATGGCAGTTCTGTTTTTAAAATTTTGAGTCATTTCCATACTGTTTTCCATACTGGCTATAATAATTTACATTCCCACATGCTCACCGGCATTTATTTTTTGACATTTTGATAATGGTCTTTTTCACTGGAGTAAGATGATATTTTTATTGTGGTTTTGATTTGCATTTCCCCAATACTTAGTGACGTTGAGCATTTTTATATACTTCTTGGCCATTTGTTTGTCCTTTTTTGAGGAATGTTCATTTGGATTTTTTGCCCATTTTAAAATTGGATTATTAGGGTTTTTTGCTGTTGACTTGTGAGTTTCTTGCATGTTCTAAATATTAGTTCTTTGTCAGATGAATAGTTTGCAAATATTTTCTCTCATTTTTAAGGCTGTCTCTTCATTCTGTTGATTGTGTCCTTTGCTGTGTAGAAGGTTTTAGTTTGATATAGTCCAATTTGTCTATTTTTGGTTTTTTGCCTATGGTTTTAAGGTCTTAGCCATAAAATCGTTTCCTAGACCAATCTCCTGAAGCATTGCCCCTTCTGTTTTCTTCTAGTTTTTAGTTTCAGGTCTTACATTTAAGTGTTCAATTCATTCTGGATTGGTTTTTATATATGGTGAGAAATAAGGGTCTAGTTTCGTTCTTCTGAACACGGATCCAGTTTTCCCAGCACAATTTGATGAGGAGTGTGTTTTCCCCCTATGTATGTTGTTGGCACCTATGTCAAAAATCATCTGGTTGTAAACACATAGATTTATTTCTGCATTCTCTATTCTGTTCCACTGGTCTATGAGTCTGTGTTTATATCAATACCATCCTGTTCTGGTTACTAAAGCTTTGTAGTTTATTTTGAAGTCAGGTAGTGTGATGCCTCCAGCTTGGTTCTTTTTGCTCAGGATTGCTTCGGCTATTCAGGCTCTTTTTCAGTTCCATACACATTTTATAATTATATTTTCTTTCTGTGAAAAATGACATTGGTATTTTGATAGGGATTTCATTCAATTTGTAGATTGCTTTGGGTAATAAGGTCATTTTAACAATATTAATTATTCCAATCCATGAGCATGGGTGACCTTTGTTTGTGTCCTCTTTAATTTTTTAAATCAGTGTTATGTAGTTTTCTTTGTAGAGGTGTTTCACCTCCTTGGTTAAATTTATCTCTAGATTTTATTTATTTATTTTTGTAGCTATTGTAAATGGATTACCTTCTTGATTTCTTTCTCAGTTAGTTTATTATTGGTGAATGGAAACACTGCTGATGTTTGCATGTTGATTTTGTATCCTGCAACTTTACTGAATTTATTATCAGATCTAGGAGATTTTTGGTGGAATCTTTGGGTGTATATATATATATATATATATATATATATATATATATGATTATATATATATATGATTATATATATGATTATATATGAGTATATATATATGATTATATATATATGATTATATATGAGTATATATATGATTATATATATAGATTATATATATATGAGTATATATATGATTATATATATATTATATATGATTATATATATGATTATATATATTTTATATATATGATTTTATGTATGATTATATATGATTATATATTATATATGATTATATATATGATTATATATGATTACATTATATATATGTAATCATTATATATATGATTATATGTATTATATATGATTATATATATTATATGATTATATGTATGATTATATATGGTTATATATAGATTATATATGATATATGTTTATATATCTATATTATATATAGATATACATACACACCCACACACATACATGTCATCTGGAAAGAGGGATGATTTGGCTTCTTCTCCCATTTGGATGTCTTTTATTTCTTTCTCTTGCCTGACGATCTGGCTACGACTTTCAGTAGCATGTTGAATAGGAGTGGTGAGAGTGGTATCCTTGTCCTGTTCTCAAGGGGAATGCTTCCAGCTTTTGCCCATTTAGTATGATGTTAGCTGTGTGTTTGTCATATATGGCCTTTATTATTTTAAGGTATGTTCCTTCTATGCCTACTTTCCCAGAAATTTTTAACATAAAAAGTTGTTGAATTTTATCCAATGCTTCTTCTACATCTATTGAGATGATCATATGGTTTTTGTCCTTCACTCTGTTGATTTGATGTATCATGTTTATTGATTTGCATATGTTGAACCATCCTTTCATCCCCGGGATAAATCCCACTTGATATGGTATATTATCTTTTTGATATGCAGTTGAATTTGGTTTGCTAGTATTTTGTTGGGGATTTTTGTGTCTATGTTCATCCGGTCTGTAGTTTTCTTTTTTGTTCCATCTTTGACTGGTTTTGGAATAAACGTAATGCTGGCTTCTTAGAATGAGTTAATGAGAATTCTCTCCTCTTTGATTTTTTGGAATAGTTTGAGAATTGGTGTTAGTTCTTCTTTGTAAATTTTGTAGAATTTGGCAGTAAAGCCTCAGGTGCAGAACTTTGCTTTGTTGGGAGACTTTTTTTTACTGTTTCAATCTAATCTTATTACCAGTCTGTTCAGGTTTTGTATTTCTTTCTGATTCAATTTTTGTAGCCTGTATGTGTCCAGGAATTTTTCTATTTCCTCTAGGTTTTCCAGTTTGTAAGTGTATAATTGTTCATAATAGTTTCTGATGATCTTTTGCATTTTGGTGGTTATCAGTTGTAATGTCTCCATTTTCATTTCTGATTTTATTTGAGGTTTTCTTTTCATTTTTTTTTCCTTGGTTACTCTAGCTAGTGGTTTATTGATTTTGTTGATCTTTAAAACAATGTTTTGATGATCCTTTTTTTGTCTCTATTTTATTTAGTTCTGCTCTGGCCTTTATTATTTCTTTCCTTCTACTAGTTTGGGGTTTGGCTTGTTCTTGACTTTCTATTTCCTTGAGATACATCATTAGATTGTTTACTTGAAATCTATTTTTTTGACACAGGCATTTATCACTATAAACTTTCCTTTGAACAGTGCTTTTGCTGTATCCCATAGCTTTTGGTATGTTGCATTTTGACTTTCATTTGTTTCAAGATATTTTTTAATTTCCTCCTTAACTTCTTCCATGACCCAGTGGTCATTCAGGAACATGTTGTTTAATTTCCATGTGTTTGAAGAGTTTCCATTGTTATTGATTTCTAGTTCATCATTACTGATTTCTAGTTTGATTTCATTGTGGTCTAAGAAAATACTTGACATGATTTCAATTTTTAAAAAATTTGTTGAGACTTGTTTTGAGGTTTAACATATGAACTATCCTGGAGAATGTTCCATGTGCTGATGAGAAGAATGTGTATTCTGCAGCTGTCAGTTCAAATATTCTATAAATACCAAAGGTCCTTTTGGTCTAAACTGCAGTTTAAATTCAATGTTTCTCTGTTGATTTTCTGTCTATACAATTTGTCTAATGCTGAGACTGGGGTGTTGAAACCCTCAACTATTATTGTACTGGACTCTAACTCTCCCTTTAAAACTAATACTTGCTTTACATATCTGAGTGTTCTGTTGGTGGGTGCACATATGTTTAAAATTGTTACCCCTCTTGTTGAATTGATCCCTTTATTATTATATAATAACCTTCATTTTTTGCTGTTTTTTATTTAAAGCTTATTTTATCTGATATAAGTATAGCTACTTCTGCCCGTTTTTGGTTTCCATTTGCATGGAATATTTTTTTCCATCACTTACTGGCAGTCTATATGTGTCTTTACAGGTGAGATTAGTTTCTTGTAGGCAACATACAGTTGGGTTATGTATTTTATCCATTCAGTCAGTCTATAACTTTTAAGTGAAAAGTTTAATCAGTTTACATTCAAGGTTATCATTGATATGTGAAGGCTTATTGCTGTCACTTTATTAATTGATTTCTGCTTGTTTTCTATATCTTTTTTTTTCTCTGTTAATGTTTAGCATTGTTGTTTGGTGGCTTTCTGTAGTGGTAACATTTCAGTCTTCTATTTATTTTTACCCATAGGTTTTACACTTTCTATTTGGGGATCAGTAAATGTCCTTCATCTGTATGTCTAAATATCTTTCTAAACTTGGGAGGTTTTCAGCTATTATTTGGCTAAATAAGTTTTCTATCCCTTTTTTTGTTTGTTTTTTTCTTCACCTTCTGGTACACCAAAATTTCAAATATTTGGACACTTTATGGTGTCTTATATGTCAGAAAGTCCTTGTTCATTTTTTTAATCCTTTTTCCTTTTTTTTGTCTGACTGGGTTATCTCAAAAGACCTGTCTCCCGATTTTGAAATTGTTTCTTCTGTTTGATCTAGTCTACTGTTAAAGCTTTCAAACATATTTTAAAATTTCATTCAATAAATTGTTCAGTTCCAGAATTTCTGTTTGATGCTTTTTATAATATCTATCTCTTTGGTAAACATCTTATTCATATCCTGAATTGCTTTTCTGATTTATATGTATTATTTATCTGTTTTCTTTCACATCTCACAGAATTCCTTTCAAATAACTATTTTAAATTCTTTTCCCAGGATTTCATAAATTTTGTTTTCTTTGGAATGTGTTGCTAGAAAATTATTGTATTTCTTTTGAGGTGTCATAGTTCCCCACTTTTTTATGTTTCTTGTGTCCTTACATTGATATGTGCACATCTGACACAACAGTCACTTCTCCAGTTGTTTGAATTTTCTTGCTAAGGAAGGATTTTTTCCTCAAGATGTACCTATGATGTTGGTTTGGTAGTGCACTTTGGCTTTGATTCTGGATATATGCAGTAGTATAGTTTCTCTATGATTTATTTGGCTGTAAACAGCATCAGTGGTATCTGTAATTTCCTCAGTGGCTTACGGTAGTTATTACTAGAAGCTATGGTGAAGTTTTGCTGAGATAAGGAGGACAGGTAGGCCAGTCCACAGGCCCCAGTGGTGGCAGTGACGGGCCAAGAATACCCATCCTTCAGCCTCAGGGTAGGCTATGCTGGTACTAGCGCTAGCAGGACCAGGCAGGCATATTCTTGGGCCTCCAGGTGGCTTTCTCCGGTGCCAGCTGTGGGCTGGGCAGGTGGGTGGGTCCTCAGGCACCTGGATGGCAGGTGTGGTGTGAGCAATGGCAGTAGTAGCAGCATGACAATCCTCTGGTTTCCAAGTGGTCCATGCTGGGGTCTGTGGCGGCTGCAATGAGCTGGGTGGGCCAGTCCTCAGGCCCACAGGTGGTAGCACATGTAGGTGGGTGCCAGCTGTGGTGGTAGTGGCAGGTTGGGTAAGCCTGTCCTTAGGTCCCTGGGAGAGATGCTCAGGTGCCTATGGTGCACAGGGCAGGAGAATCCTCAGGTACCCAGACGGCGAGCTCAGGCACTGGAGGTGGTGGAGCCAGGCTAAGTGAGTCTGTCCTCAGGCTCCCCAAGTGGTGCCTGCAGGCACTGGCTGTGGTAGGCAGTGACAGGGTGATCCCCAGGCCCCCAGTGAAATGCCTGGGTTGGGGAACCAGCGGCTGCACTGCGGCCCTGCTACTGAGGAGAGCAGGGTTGCTTTTTCAGTGGCAGCAGCCATACGCAGGCAGCTGGGGAGTGTGCACTTCAGCCTGGTGGTGGTGGCAGGCAGGGTACCTTGTCCTCAGGGCACTTATAAATGCACAACAGCCCACTGCTGCTGGTGGTGAGAGTGCTGCCAAGGGCTGGTGCTTTGGCCCTGGTAACAGCAGCCAGCAGCGATGGCAGCTATGGATGGGGGATATCAATGGGCCTCAGGGATGTAAAGATGTGGGGCCATGGGTCCCCAGAACAGGATGCATTCTGCTGGGGGCTGGGCTCTCAAAGTGGCACTTTGTTGTAGCCACTTAAGACATAAGGGTGTGTGTGGGAGCCAGCATGAGCTTCTCTCGAGCAATGCGGTCACAGAGTTTCCAGGCAGCTCCCCATGTTAGTCTCAGAGCCTGCAGGGGTTGAGTCACTAGGATTGCAGAAGTCCATGGTGGGAATGTGGTCAGCTGGGGGTCTCTCACTTACCCTTTCCCTGCACTGGGAGCCTCTCTGGGCTCCTGGCCAATCCCAGCTGAGCTGGCTGCCTTGCTTCTCTCTCCTTTTTTGCCTTAGGTGTTTCCTGTCACTTCTTTGTTGAATTCCAGTGTCTTTCTTAGATAATCTATTCAAAGTTTGATTATCTACTCACTATTTTGGTTCTTCTTTGTGGAGGAGGCAAGTACCAGATACCTCCAGTTAGCTATCTTGAAGCCCCCTCCATATACGATTTCTGGCACTGAATCAATCAAATATTACAAGTCATGCCAGAAGCCAAAACCAAATGACTGAAACCCAAGAAAAAAATAATTCAGAGTAATCAACAGGTGAATGAGGTATCATTATAACATATGGGCTTTAATTATGACAAATATGTTCAAAAAGAGGAAAATGTGAAGAGTTTCCGTCCAGTTCCAAAGAACTGGAACATACAGAAAGAATCAAATAGAAATTCTAGAATGGAAAAACACTATAATATTTTGAAATTAGGGATTTAATATATAGGTTTGGGAGCTGGTTATCCACACTGAATAGGGGAATAAAGAACTGGATGAAGTGTCAGTACAAAATACCCAGGTAAATGCAGAGAAAAAAAAATAGAATGAAAAGTAAACATAGTAGGAGATGCATGAAACAGAAAGAAAGGTCTAATAAACTTTGTTATTTGAGTCCCTGAAGAAGAGAGGGGGACAGGAAGTCATATTGAAAGCAATACCAGTGATAATTTTCACAAACTGAAAAATAATCCTCCCTCCCCTAGGTCTTATTCAGTATGTGGAGAGAATAGCTCTACTCTAACCCTGATTAAAGAAACTTGCCTAAGATTTTGATCATGTTAAAGAAACTATGATTTCAAAATTCCATAGAGGTTTCTTTTGGTGCGAAAGGTTAGACAGGGAGTTTTAGACTGTTTATTTAGCAAAGCTTCAATTTTGGTTCTGCAAAGGTGGCTTAGATTCTACTCTGAGGTAAGGGTTGAATAGCTCAAGTGCTTGACATGGAAAAGAATAGCAGCTTGGGATTTGAATCTGGCAGCTAGTGAGAGGGTGAGTGGACATTTATTATAGAAAGGGAGGAATTTTTACAGCTGGGTAGAGCAAAGCTCAAACTAGTAATGAAAGCAACTGGCTTTTTTTCTTTTAAAGTTCAAACTGATAACTTTTATGGAGTTTAACAATAATCTCTAACATGGTTATTTGATTTCTGTTTATTCTTTTCAGCCACTACATTTTAAATTTCTTTTTAAGTTTTTAATTAACAAATTATAATTGTATGTATTTATGGGGTACAATGTCTTGAAATATGCATACAATGTAGCATGATTAAATAAAGCTAATTAACATAAAAAAAGAAAGTGCATGGGGAGAGTGTGGAATAATCAGCGAGGCTTAAAGGAGGCATAGCAGGCAAAACCAACAGCAACAATGACAGTAAAATCACCCAGAAACTCCTCCTGCCAGGAAAATGCAGGTGAATTGTGAAGGCATTGCTGTCTAAGATTTCATTTTACTCTGATCTGATTTCCTTTCACTGTGATGTGCTTAACTCGCCAGGCCTGTCCCCAAACCTCCAGTGAAATTTTGTGGCGTGCAGGACCTTGCACTCGCAGTACTTTGGGACATGAAAGAATCCAGGGCAGCATGTGGCACACGTGGAAGGGAACGTCATGTGCTGGATACAAGACGCAAAGGAAGGACTGAGAATCCAACAGAACAGGGAGTCACAGGGCGGGAGCCAGAAGAAATGAAATAACCTCCTAAAAATCCTTGGGACTACTGGAGAGAAGAAGGAGGAAAACAAGCCACCCAATCTCTCACAGTCCGTGGGATGAGGGCTTGAGTTTCTCTTTAATATTAGAGAAGAGGGTAACCCCAAAGGCTAGAAGCCGTGGGGACACCCGGTGGAAGATACTGGATTGTGTGTATGCATGATCACACACACAAACACACACACACACACACATGCACAAACACACACATATACAAACACACACGCGCACACACACAAACACACATGCCAGGAAGAAAAACACAGTGATTACATTCATTAAGGATTGGTACATTTTTCCACGTAATTTCATTTAAAAACAAATTCTGAGCTCTGATACATTCATTATATCCTGTGCTGTAGTTTCTGATAGTCCAGTAAAAACTCATTTCTCTAAGGTTACGAATGTACAGTAATGACCCTGTTTGCCAATATGACAAAAAACTGTTGTTGTCATCTTCCTTCATAACATTTCACCCCTCCAATGATAAAATGCCCACAAAATCAAACCCGAAGCAGAAAAAGCAACTGTCACTTGCCCCTGCTGCTGGTGAGAAACAAGGCCTGCTGACAGCAGCAGCCGGTCCAGGCACGGAGCAGAGCGGGAGAGCTTCACGTGGGACTTTCAAGTCTTGTGAAAAACAAATCCCTTTCTGCTGCCATCTGATTCATAGGGAAACATTCCACTTACTCCTTTTGCTTTATTCTGGACTCAAATAGAGAGGACAGAGAGAGATAAAAGAGACACACAGAGATAAAACATCACACACA
The DNA here is from genome assembly GCF_000001405.40 of Homo sapiens. NCBI lineage: Eukaryota > Metazoa > Chordata > Mammalia > Primates > Hominidae > Homo > Homo sapiens. The sequence goes on along the minus strand of NC_000006.12, from coordinate 162,940,472 downwards.
GAAAGGAAGAAGAGAAAGAAGACACATACAGACAGACAGACAGAGAGAGATAGGAGAAATGGGCAGGAGAGAGAGAGAGAGGGAGAGAGAGAACATAGAGAACCACCCACTAATGACAGTCAGATATAAAGAGCAGGAAACAAAATAGAAGTCAGAGAGCCAAGGAGAAGAGGGGCCTCAATCTCTGCCTTGCCTAGAACAGAGTGTAGGGCAGTAAGTTTGAGTTCTCTCTTAAGTTTTTCTTCTAAACCTGCCTCTACTTCTCATTTGTTGCCTGATCTTGAGCATATCAGGGCACCCCTCTGAGCGTTAGCATGAATATCTATAAAATGAGATATTTGAAAAAGTTGCTCTTGATGTTTCTTTATGACTATAATAGTCCATGGCTCCTGATCCATGATCCAGAAAAAGTATAGAAATCTATTATACTGAGTGTTTATTTGCAGTTAGAATTAGCAACAAACTTAAATAATGGGTTTGGCTTAGCTTCATTTGAGAAAATACTTTGACATTCTGGGTTTGATTTGCTTCAATAATTTTAGAAAATATAATTACCAGTATGAACTAATTTACTGTATGGTTCTTAATTTAAGAAAAAGACTGACAGCAGGCGCTAAATAAATTTTGCAAATTAGCAACTTAAATGAAATTATGAATTTAAAATATTGCTTAAATCGAAGTAAAATAAAAGCCCAGCACCAAAGGCAGTGTTCAACAATATAACAGATAGAAAACATTCATTACCAGAACATGCTAGAATCAGCTAAGTGACACACACACACACACACACACACACGTCAAATACAGGAGATGTAAAATTAATGGAAAAGGAATAAGGAGAACAAAGAATAGGAGAAAGGAGGAAAAAAGATAGGAGAGATGAGATGAAAGAAGTAGAGAAGAGCAAGAAGAGTAAGGAATAAAGAAAAACACCAAAAAGAAGAAAGCCTCATTACCTGTGCTTTTCCCTCCCTTGAAATAATCTTTGAGTCCTCATCAGGTTGGCTCTGGGCCCAAATGAGATACTGGATGTAAATGGCTGCAATAGCTCTTTAGTTTAATTAAGTCTCAGCTATTTATCTTTGTTTTTATTGCATTTGCTTTTGGGCTCTTGGTCATGAAATCCTTGCTTAGGTCAATGTCAGAAGGGTTTTTCCAATGTTATCTTCTAGGTTTTTTATAGTTTCAGGTCTTAGATTTAAGTCCTTGATCCATCTTGAGTTGATTTTTGCATAAGGTGAGAGGTAAGAATCCAGTTTCATTCTACTACATGTGGCTGGGCAATTATCATTTGTTGAATAGGGAGTCCTTTCCCCACTTTATGCTTTTGTTTGCTTTTTTGAAGATCAGTTGGCTGTAAGTATTCAGATTTATTTCTGGGTTCTCTATTCTGTTCCATTGGTCTATGTGCCCATTTTTATACCAGTACCATGCTGCTTGGTGACTATTGCCTAACTGGTACTTAATTAAACTAAAGAGCTTTTGCACGGCAAAAGGAACAGTCAGCAGAGTAAATAGACAACCCACAGAGTGGGAGAAAATCCTCACAATCTATACATCTGACAAAAGACTAATATACAGAATCTACAAAGAACTCAAATGAATTAGCAAGAAAAAACCAAACAATTCCAATAAAAAGTGAGCTAAGTACATGAATAGACAATTCTCAAAAAAAGACATACAAATGGCAAACAAACATATGAAAAAATGCTCAGCATCACTAATGATCAGGGAAATGCAAATCAAAACCACAATGCAATGCCACCTTACTCCTGCAAGAATGGCCATAATCAAAAAAATTAAAAAATAATAGATGTTGGGATGGATGCAGTGAACAGGGAACACTTCTACACTGCTGGTGGGAGTGTAAACTAGTACAGCCACTCTGGAAAACAGTGTGGCAGTTCCTTAAAGAGCTAAAAGTAGAACTACCATTTGATCCAGCAATCCCACTACTGGTGGGAGTGTAAACTAGTACAGCCACTCTGGAAAACAGTGTGGCAGTTCCTTAAAGAGCTAAAAGTAGAACTACCATTTGATCCAGCAATCCCACTACTGGGTATCTACCCAGAGGAAAAGAAGTCATTATACGAAAAAGATACTTGCACATGCATGTTTATAGCAGCACAATTCCCAATTGCAAAAACATGGAACCAACCCAAATGCCCATCAATCAACGAGTGGATAAAGAAACTGTGGTATATATTTACAATGGAATACTATTCATCCATAAAAAAGGAATGAATTAATGGCATTCACAGCAACCTAGATGAGATTGGAGACTATTATTCTATGTGAAGTAACTCAGGAATGGAAAACCAAACATTGTGTGTTCTCATTCATAAGTAGGAGCTAAGCTATGAGGATGCAAATGCATAAGAATGACACAATGGACCTTGGGGACACAGGGGAAAAGGATGGGAAGGGGGTGAGGGATAAAAGTCTATAAACTGTGTGCAATGTATACTACTTGGGTAATGGGTGCACCAAAATCTCACAAATCACCACTAAAGAACTTACTCTTGTGACCAAATACCACCTTTGCCCCAATAACCTATGAAAATAAAAAAAAAAATTAAAAAATGACTGCAAATAAACCCCAAAGCACTAAGCAAGGGAGTGGTATTGTTGTTTTATACTTTTCTCAAATTTTCACTTCCTAGATTTGAAGTTTTGGTCCAACCGAGACAACAGAATATGTTACTAAATGGTTAATATTGTTACAGGGATGCTACCACATTACACTATTTTGATTAAGATGTGGTTGGTAAATATACCCACAAGCCTTACATTACAAGGGCTCTGGCTAATTTGTAACCTAGGGCAAATACGACCATACTTACAATGGAAACTGGTTTGGGGAGGGAGGTCTACGTCACTGACAGAATGAGAGATCTCCTAATTCACCCTGCAAGTGTCACCCATCTAGAAAGTAACACCCGAGACATAGATGTGAAGATGCTGCTCACCGCCTGTGGACAAGCTGAGATCTAGATAGGTGTCTCTTGGCCTCCATGTGAGGGTCTTCTGCATCCTCCCGCATTCTTTCAGTGTTGGGATCCCACAGGTTTTGTTCTTAGCACTCCCTTCTCTCTCTACACCTGCACTGTCTAGCACAGCAGCCAGCAGCTACCTGTGGTTGTGTTTGAAATGTGGCTGATACCACATGTTAAGATGATATTTAAAATATATCAGGTTAATTCATTAAAGTTAATTTTACCAATTTTATTTTACTTTTTAAAATGTGGCTACTAGAAGAATATAAAATAATACGTGATTCATATTATATTTCTATTGAACAGTGCTGCTCTTCAAGGTTCATCAGGATTGTCTAAGCTCCACCCATGCCTTTTCAGTTATTCTGACAAATGACATCAGTCTAGACCTTTCTTTTGAACTTCAAATCAACTTATTCCTTTTCTACTCTGGCACTTTCAAACTCAGTGTATTTCAAATTCAACTCATTTATCTCGTTCTCATGAGAAAAGTATCCTTTTTCAAATGCTTCTCTTATTTAAGTCAGAAACTGAAAAGATGGCCTTGACCTCTCTCTATTGAATGCTTAACCCAGTTGTATAGATGCATGATTTCTAAAATATTTTAGAAATGCACATCTTAGTAAGACCATGAAAGTAAATGGGTCTCTCTATAAGCCAAACTAAAAAAAAAAAAATTCTGAACAATTACAGATATATACTTTTCAAATGAATTATTTGCTTTTTATTTAATACCATGATAATTGTTAAAGCAGTCTATTAACAACAGAAGCAATATTTAGAATGCATGCTTAACAAAGCAATATATAATATTAAGTAATTAAAATATAAAATTATAATGGAAACAATAAATTGGCAAGGGATCATTTACCTTTTGGATAATATAGTAACATTTTCTGCAATATAGTGTGTTTGGCAAGATTCAGTATCAGAATGTCCTCTCACTACCAATTCTGAGTATATTTTTAGGCACTGCAAGGCAATGCTTGCTCAATGGAATTGGCTATATCACTATATTAATAGCTTTGAGACACACTAAGCCTTACCAAAAACATATCATGTTGAGTGAATAGCAAAGATTGTTTAAGTTAATACATTTATAAACAAAATTGAGCTTGAGATTCTACTTATGGCAAGTCTATGCAATTCTTCTGCATGTGTGAGCACTCGATAGAGTTTCGCTGTGTCCCCACCCAGATCTCATCTTGAATTGTAGCTCCCATGATTCCCATGTGTTGTGGGAGGGACCTGATGGGAGACAATTGAATCATGGGGGTGGTTTCCCTCATACTGTTTTCATGGTAGTGAATAAGTCTCACAAGATCTGATGGTTTTATAAGGGGAAACCCCTTTAGCTTGACTCTCATTCTCTCTCTTGCAGCTGTCATGTAAGAAGTGCCTTTTGCCTTCTGCCATGATTGTGAGGCTTTCCTAGGCATGTGGAGCTGTAAGTCCATTAAACCTCTTTCTTTTGTAAATTGCCCAGTCTTGGGTATGTCTTCATCAGCAGCATGAAAATAGACTAATACAGCACTGGTGATGGCTTGATTTTGAAGAACAGTAATGTTGAAGTATGTTTCATTTTGCTCCCAGTAGTCTTTGAACTTGAAGTTTAAATTTGGTAATATTCAATATATGATAACAAACATTAAGTTATACTATCTTGCAATTTTCAATGATCTCTAATTTCTCAGAAAGAAATGTTCCTGTTCACAAGAAACATGAAAAACAAGAAAACATGACACTTCCAAAGGAACACAATAATTCTCCAGTAACAGTGAAAAGAAAAGAAAATCTATGAAATGCCTGAAAAGAAATCCAAAATAATGATCTTAAGAAAACTCAACAGGTTACAGAAGAAATAAATCAGGAAAATAATTCATTATCCAAATGAGAAATTTTAAAAAAGAAATAGCATATAAAAGAACCAAACAAAAATCTTGTAACTGAAACATATAATGAGGGAAATAAAAAAAAATACAATTGAGAACTTCAACAACAGACTACATCAAGCAGGAATAAAAAGAATTTCTCAACTCAAAGACAGGTCTTTAAAATTACGTAGTCAAAAAAAAAAAAAAAAAGAATAAAACAGAATGAAGAGAGCCTATCCGACACATGGGACATCACTACACCACGAAGTGAAAAAAGTTTTGCATTTTGGGAGTTCCAGAAGAACAATAAATAGAAAAAGTCCTAGATAATTTATTTAACGAAATAATAGCTGAAAATTTCCCAAGTCTAGAAAGATATTTAGACATATAGATACAGGAAGTTCAAATCCCCAAATAGATTCAACCCAAAACGGTCCTCTCTAAGGCAAGTTATAGTTAAACTATCAAAAGTCAAAGACAATGAGAAAATTATGAAAACAGCAAGAGAAAAGCATCCAATCACATACAAGAGAATCCCCATCAGACTAATAGCAGATTTCTCAACAGAAACCATACAGGCCTGGAGAGAACAGGATGATATCTTCAAAGTACTGAAAGAAAAAACAACAACTATCAGCCAAGAATGTTATACCCAGCAAAGCTATCCTTCATAAATAAATGAAAAATAAAATCTTTCCCAGACAAGCAAAAACTGAGGGAAATTCATCACCACTAGACTAGTGCTACAAGAAATGTTTAAGGGAACCCTGCATGTGTGAGTGAAAGGATGATATCTACCATCATGAAAACACATGAAAATATAAAACTCATTGGCAGAGTTTCATATTCTGCCACAATACACAAATGAGAAAGAGATAGGAGCCAAACATTAACACTACAGAAAACCACAAGACTGAAAAGATAAACAATAAAAGAGGAAGAAAGAAACAAAGGATATACAAAATAATCAGAAAACAATTAGCAAAATGAATACAATAACAACTTTGAATGTAAAGGGTTTAAATTCCCCACCTAAAAGATATAGACTGGCTACATGATAAATAAAACAAAACAAACACAGTGAAACAACTATATCCTGCTGAAAAGAAATTTCACCTACAAGGAAACAGACTTTCTGAAAGAGAAGGGCTGGTGCTATAGTTTGGATATTTGTCACCCTGAACCTCAAGTATAAATTTGATCCCCAATTTTAAAGGTGGGGCCTAATGGAAGGTGTTTGAGCCATGGGTGCAGATCCCTCATGAAGAGTTTAACGCCCGCCCTCCCAACCAGGGAAGTGAGTTCTCATTCTCTTTTTTTCATTTATTTATTTTTTTTTTTTGAGACAGTCTCGCTGTGTTGGCCAGGCTGGAGTGCAGTGGCATGATCTCGGCTCACTGCAACCTCCGCCTCCCAGCTCAAGCAATTCTCCTGCCTCAGCCCCCCGAGTAGCTGCGATTACAGGAGTGTGCCACCATGCCTGGCTATCTTTTGTATTTTTAGTAGAGACTGGGTTTCACCATGTTAGCCAGGCTGGTCTTGAACTCCTGACATCAGGTAATCTGCCCACCTCAGCCTCCCAAACTGCTGGGATTACAGGCGTGAGCCACCGCGCCCAGTTGTGAGTTCTCATTCTTATTCGTTTATGTGAAGGCTGGTTGTTAAAAACAGCTTAGCACCTCCCTTCCCTCTCTCTTGTTTCCCCTCTCACTATGTAATCTCTGCACACACATGTTCACCTTTGCCTTCCACCATGATGAAAGTAGCCTGAGGCCCTTGCCAGAAATCCAATCCTGAACTTTCTAGTAGAACCATGAACTAAACGAACCTTTTTTTTCCCCAAAATTACCCAGCCTTGGATATTTCTTTAAAGCAACTCTAAATGGACTAAGACAAATGGAAGAAAATATTCCACACAAATGGAAACCAAGAGTGTGCAGGAGTAGTGTAATTATATCAAACAAAACAGACTTTAAGTAAAAAAAAAAAAAAAAAAAAAAAGATACAGAAAGTCATTATATACTGATAAAATGATAAATTTAGCAAGATAATCTAACAATTGTAAATATTTATGCTCACAACACCAAAACACCCACAAATGTAATGCAAATATTAGCTAAAGAGAGACAGATAAACCTCAGTACAATAAAAGCTGGGGACTTCAATACCCCACTTTTAGGTTTGGAAAAATCATCTAGACAGAAAATTCACCAAGAAACACTGGACTTAAACTGCACTACAGAGCAAATGTACCTAAGAGACAAGACATTTCATCAACTGTAATATACACATTCTTCTCATCAGCACATGAAACATTCTCCAGGATAAACCATATATTAGGCCACAAAACAAGTCTCAACACATTTCAAGAAATGAAAGTCCTATTGTTTTCTCACATCACAATGTAATAAAACCAGAAATAATAAGAACTTTGAAAATACAAATGTACGGAGAGTAAACAACATGCTTCTGAATGACAAATGGGTCTATGAAGAAATTAAGAAGTAAATATTAAAAAGTCTTGAAACTAGTGAAAATAAAAACACTAAACATATACCAAATCATATGAGATACAGGAAACTCTGTACACAGAGGAAAGTTTACAGCAATAAACACCTAAATCAAAAGTAGAATTCAAATAAACAACCTAATGATGTATCTCAGAGAATTAGAAAAGCAAGAAAAAAAAAGCTAAACCCAAAATTTTTAGAACGTTTATAAAGATGAGAGCAGAAATAAACAAAGACAAAAATATTTTAGAAATCTGAAGATGTAAAAGGCTGTTTTTTAAAGATAAGCAAAATTGGCAAACCTTTAGCTAGACAAAGAAAAAAAGAGAGAAGAGCCAAATAAGTAAAATTAGAAATGAAAAGGACACTTAACAAATATGATCAGAGACATACAAATAATTAGAGATTATTATAAACAACTATACAACTACAAATTAGAAACCTAGAAAAAAATGATAAGCTTCTGGACACATAAAATCTACTAAGATTAAACCATGAAGAAATGGAAAATTTCAAGAAACCAATAGTAAGTAACAAAATTGAAGCTATAATGAAAAGTCTCCTATCAAGGAAAAGCCCAGGACCCAGTTGCTTCACTGCTAAATTCTACCAAATGTTTAAAGAACTAAAACCAATTATACTCAAACTCTTCAAAAAAAAATTGTGTGTTTTTAGAAGCTTTATTGAAGTAAAATTAATATTGAAAAATGTACTATTAAAGTATACAATTTGATAAGTTTTGACAGATGTGTACACCCATGAAACACTATCACTTCAGTGAAGAACATACCCATCAACCCCAAAAGTTTTCTCATGCTTCTTTACGATTCCTCTCTTACCTCTCCCACCCCATGCTTTCTGTCACTATAAATGTAATAAACGTATATTTTCTAGAGTTTTATATAAATGGAAACATAAAGTACGTACTCCTTTTTGTTTGGTTTCTTTTATTCAACATTACTTTTTTTAGATGCATCCATGCTGTTAAGTGTGTCAGTAATTCATTTCTTTTTATTGCTGAGTAGTAGTAGTCTGTAGTATGCGTACATCATCATTTGCTTACCCAAGAACTGTAGGTGAACATTTGGGTTATTTCCAGTTTAGGGTATTTACATATAAAGCCCTTATCAACATTCATGTCGAAGTCATTGTATGAACATACATTTTCTTTCCTTCTGGATAAATGCCTAGAAGTGAAATGGCTCTACATATGGCATTTGTATCTTTGACTTTTTGAGAAACTGGCAAACTGTTCTCTAAATTGGTTGTACCATTTTACATTCCCATCAACAGTGGATGAATGCTCCAATTCCTCTACATCCTCACCAACACATGACATAATAAGTCTTTTTCATTGTAGCCACTCTAATAGGTGTGTAGTGGTATCACTGTTATTTTAATTTTCATTCCTAATGAACTAATCATGTGGTATTTGGCATATGTTTATTTGCTTTCTGTATATCCTTGGAGACAACTGATTTTTCACAAAAGTACAAAGGCAATCCAATGGAAGAAGGATAATCTTTTCAACAAATGGTGCTGAAACAACTGCATATCATATCAACTGCAAAAATTGATCCATATCTCATGGCATAAACAAAATTTAACTCAAACTATCATGGACCTAAATGTAAAACATAAAACTATAAAACTTCTAGAAGAAAACCTAGGAAAAAATTTTGTGACCTTGGGTTAGGCAAATTTTTTTTTATATATGACATCAAAAGCATGATCCATGAAAGAATAAATTGATAAAACTGGACCTCGTAAACATTTTAAAAATATCTTTTCTTTGAAAGGCACTGTTAAGAGAACAAAAAGACAACTTGTGTGCTGGAAGAAAATATTTGCAAAGCATACATCTGATAAAGAAGTTGAATCCAGATATATAAAAAGAACTCTCATAAATCAATAAGAAAACAATTCAATCAAAAATTGGTTAAAACAATTAAACAGAAACTCTTCAAAAATTTTTTGTAGAAGAAAGAATACTTGCAAACTCTGTAAGGCTAGCATTACTCTGATACCAAAATCAGACAAGGACACAACAAAAAAAGAAAACTATAGGCCCATATCACTGAAGAACGTATATGAAAAAATTATCAACAAAATACTAGCAAACTGAATCCAAAAGCACTTCAAAAAGATAATACACCATGATCAAGTGGCATGCATCCCAGGGATGCAAGGAGGTTTCCACATATACAACTCAATAAATGTGATACATCATATTAACAGTACCAAGAAAAAAACCATGTAGATACTGAAAAAGCATTTGACAAAATTCAAGATTCCTTTATGATAAAAACTTTCAACACACTGGTATAGAAAAATAAACTTAAAAATAACAAAGGCCACATATGAAAGACTCACAGCTAATATAATACTGAACAGGGAAAATTGAAAGCCTTTCCTCTACGATATGGAACAAGAAAAGGATGCCCACTTTTACTACTTTTATTCAATGTAATAATGGAAGTCCTGGCTACAGCAATTAGGTAAGAGAAATAAACAAAGGGCATCCAAATTGGAAAGGAAGAAGTCAAATTAGTCTTGTTCAAAGATATCATATTATATATAGAAAAGCCTAAAGATTTACTGCAAAAAAACCATTAGAACTAATAAACAAATTCAGTAGAGTTGCAGGATACAAAATCAACATACAAAAATCAGTCATAATTATATATGTCAAAAGCAATCAATCTGAAAAAGAAATCAAGAAAGTAATCCCATCTACAAAAGTTACAAAGAATATAAAATATCTAGGAATCAATTTAACCAAGGAGTGAAAGATCTATACAAGGGAAACTATAAAACACTGATAAAAGGACTTGGAGAGACCAGAAAAAAATAAAAAGATACTCCATGCTCATGGATTGGAATAACTAATTTTGTTAAAGTTACCACCCAAAGCAACATACAAATTCAATGCAATCTTTATCAAAATACCAATGACATTCTTAACAGAAATATATATTTTTTTAAATCCTGAAGATTATATGGAATCATGAAAGACCCAAAATACCCAAAGAAATCTTGAGCAGAGAAAATACCCCAAAACAAAACAAAGCTGGAGACATCACACTACTAGATTCAATATATATTACGAAGCTATAGCAACCAAATGAGCATGGTACTGGCATAAAAATGGACACATAGACCAATGAAACAGAATAGAGAACCCAGATATAAATCCATGCATTTACAGCCAACTCATTTTTGAAAAAGTTGCCAAGAACATACAATGGGAAAAGAACACTCTCTTTAATACATGGTACTAGGAAAACTGGACATGTGTGTGCAGAAGAATGAAATTAGACCCCTACCTCTCACCATCTACAAAAATCAAATAAAAATGGATTAGAGGCTTAAATTTAAGACCCCAAACTGTGAAACTACCCGGAGAGATCATTGGGGAAAATGCTCCAGGACATGAGTCTAGGTAAGCATCTTTTGTGTAAGACCTCAGAAGCAAAGACGATCAAAGCAAAAATGGACAAATGGGATTATATCAAGCTAGAAAGCTTTTGCACAGCAAGGAAACAATCAACCAAGTGAAGAGATAACCCACAGAATGGGAGAAAATATTCACAAACTATCTATCTGACAAGTGATTAATAACCAGAATTATAAGGGACTCAACTCAATAACAAAAAGTAAATAATACAATTTAAAAATGGGCAGAAGATCCAATAGACATTTCTCCAAAGAAGACTTACAAATAGCCAATGGGTGTATAATCAGAGAAATGCAAATTCAAACCACAATGAAACATCTTACCCCAGTTAAATGCCTTTTACCAAAAAGGAAATTAAGGATGCCGGTGGGAATGTCAAGAACGGGGAACTCTTTACACTGTTGGGGGGAATGTAAATTAGTACAGCCAGTAAGAAAAACTGTATGAAGGTTCCTCAAAATACTAAAAATAGAACTCCCGTATGATCCAGCAATTCCTCTGCTGGGTATTTATCCAGAAGAAAGGGAATCAATATATTAAAGAGATATCTGTATTGTCATGTTTATTGGAGCACTATTCACAATAGGCAAACAATGGAATCAACGTAAGTGACCATCAGTGGATGACTGGATAAAGAAAATGTAGCATATATACACAATGGAGTATTATTCAGCATAAAAAAGGATGAAATCCTGTCATTTGCAGCAACATGGATGGAACTCATGGTCATTATGTTAAGTAATATATGCCATGCACAGAAAGACAAATACCATACATTCTCACTTATATGTAGGAGCTAAAAAAAAAAGTGGACCTTATTAAGAAGAAAACAAATTGGTTGTTACCAGAGGTTGGAAAGAGTGGGGAGTAGGGGGAGAAAATAAAAACATACATACATATAGCCATATACAATATGATAGAAGAATAAGGCCTGGAGTTTGATAGATCTGTAGGGTGACTATAGCATACAACGATCTATTGCATATTTCAAAATAGCTAAGAAGAGAATAATTCAAATCTTTCTAGCATAAAGAAAAGACAAATCTTTAAGGTGATGGATATCACAGTCACACTGATTAGATCTTTACAAATTACATGAATGTATTGAATTATCACATGTACCCAGAAAATATGCAAATCTATTATGTATCAATACAAAAAATTTAAAAATAGTTTCTTTGGAGAATATTTTAAAATTATGAAAAAAACCATTAGCTAGACTAGAAAAAAATAGAGAAGACCCACATACATTTAAATCAGAAATGAAAAAGGAGACATAACAACTGAGACCACAGAAATACAAAGGATCATTAGGGACTATTATGAACAACTATATGCCAACAAATTGGAACACCTAGAGAAAATGGATGAATTTCTCGGCACATATAACCTACCAAAATTGAGCCAAGAAGAGCTAGAAAACCTTAACAGACCAATGATGAACAAAGAGGTTGAAGCCATAATAAAAAGTCTCCCCTCAAAAAAAGCCCAAATGGATTTACTGACAAATTCTACCGAACTTTTAAAAAAGACCAAACACAGATTTTTCTCAATTCTGAAAAACTGAAGAGGAGAGAATTCTCCCAAACACATTCTATGAGGCCAGCATTACCCTCATACCAAAACCAGACAAAGACAACAAATAAAGGAAACTACAAGCCAATATTAGCAATGAACATAGGGAAATTCATCAATAAATTCATCAACAAAATACTGGCAAATCAAATTCAACAGCACATGAAAAAGATAGTACACCACGATCCAGTTTCATTCATCCCAGGGATCCAAGAATGTTTCATTTTTTTGTTTGTTTGTTTGTTTGTTTGCTTTGCTTTTTTTAATTTTAAGTTCTAGGATACATGTGCAGAATGTGCAGGTTTGTTACATGGGTAAACATGCTCCATGGTGGTTTGCTGCACGTATCAACCCAATACCTATGTATTAAGCCCCACATGCATTAGCTATTTACCCTGATGCTCTCCCTCCTCTGACCCTGGTGTGTTTTGTTCCCCTCCCCATTTCCATGTGTTCTCATTGTTCAGCTCCGACTCATGAGTGAGAATATCTGGTGTTTGGTTTTCTGTTGCTGTGTTAGTTTACTGAGGATGATGGCTTCCAGCTCCATCCATGTCCCTGCAGAGGAAGTAATCTCATTCTTTTTTATGGCTGCATAGTATTCCATGGTGTATATGTACCACATTTTCTTGATCCAGTCTAATATTGATGCGCATTTGGGTTGATTCCATGTCTTTGCTATTGTGAATAGTACTGCAATAAACATACATTTGCATGTATCTTTATAATATAATTATTTATATTCCTTTGGGTATATACCCAGCAATGGGATTGCTGGGTCAAATGATACTTCTGGTTCTAGGTCCTTGAGGAAAAGCCACACTGTCTTCCACAATAGTTGAACTAATTTACATTCCCACCAACAGTATAAAAGTGTTTCTATTTCTCCACAGCCTCGCCAGCATCTGTTGTTTCCTGACTTTTTAATAATTGCCATCCTGACCGGTGGAGATGGTATCTCATCATGGTTTTGATTTGCATTTCTCTAATGATCAGTGATGTTGAGCTTTTTTGCATGTTTGTTGGCTGCATAAACATCTTCTTTTGAGAAGCATCTGTTCATGTCCTTTGTCTACTTTTTGATGGAGTTGTTTGTTTTTTCTTGTAAATTTGTTTAAGTTCCTTGTAAATTCCGCATATTAGACCTTTGTCAGATGGGTAGATTGCAAAAATTTTCTCCCATTCTGCAGGTTGCCTGTTTGCTCTGATGACAGTTTCCTTTGCTGTGCAGAAGCTCTTTAGTTTAATTAGATTCCATTTGCTAATTTTTGCTTTTGTTGCAATTGCTTTTGGTGATTTCATCATAAAACCTTTGATCATGCCTATGTCCTGAATGGTATTGCCTAGGTTTTCTTCTAGGGTTTCTGTGGTTTTGGGTTTTACATTTAGGTCTTTAATCCATCTTGAGTTAATTTTTATATAATGTGTAAGGAAGGGACCCAGTTTCAGTTTTCCGCATATGGTTAGCCAGTTCTCTCACAGCATCACTTGTTAAATAGGGAATCCTTTCCCCATGGCTTGTTTTTGCCAGGTTTGTTGAACATCAGATGGTTGTAGATGTGTGGTCTTATTTCTGAGATCTCTATTCTGTTTCAGTGGTCTATGCATCTGCTTTGGTACCAGTGCCATGTTGTTTTGGTTAATGTAGCCTTGCAGTATAGTTTGAAGTCAGGTAGTGTGATGCCTCCAGCTTTGTTCTTTTTGCTTAGGATTGTCTTGGATATATGGGCTCTTGTTTCCATATGAATTTTAAAGTAGTTTTTTTTCTAATACTTTGAAGAATGTCAATGGTAGTTTTATGAGAATAGCATTGAATCTATAAATTACTTTGGGCAGTATGGCCATTTTCATGATATTGATTCTTCCTATCCATGAGGATGGAATATATTTGCATTTGTTTGTGTCCTCTCTTATTTTCTTGAGCAGTGGCTTGTAGTCCTCCTTGAAGAGGTCCTTCACATCCCTTGCTAGCTGTATTCCTAGGTATTTTATTCTCTTCATAGCAGTTGTGAATGGGAGTTCATTCATGATTTGGCTCTCTGCTTGTCTACTGTTGGTGTATAGAAATTCTTGTGATTTTTGCACATTAATTTTGTATCCTGAGACTTTGCTGAAGTTGCATATCAGCTTAGCACTTTTGGGCTGAGATGGTGGGGTTTTCTAGATATAGGAGGATCATGTCGTCTGCTAAAAGAGACAATTTATTTCCTCTCTTCCTATTTGAATACCTTGATTTCTTTCTCTTGCTTTCCCTGGCCAGAACTTCCAATACTATATTGAATAGGAGTGGTGAGAGAAGGCATCCTTGTCTTGTTCCAGTTTTCAAAGGGAATGCTTCCAGCTTTTGTCCATTCAGTATGACATTGGCTGTGAGTTTGTCATAAATAGCTCTTATTATTTTGAGATACGTTCTATCAACACCTAGTTTATTGAGAGTTTTTAACATGAAAGGATGTTGAATTTTATTGAAGGACTTTGCATCTATTGAGATAACTGTAGTTTTTGTCACTGGTTCTGTTTATGTGATAGATTATGTTTACTGATTTGCTATGTTGAACCAGCCTTGCATTCCAGGCATGAAGCTCACTTGATCGTGGTAGATAAGCTTTCTGATGCACTGCTGGATTCAGTTTGCCAGTATTTTATTGAAGATTTTTGTAGTAACGTTCATCAGGGATATTGGCCTGAAGTTTTCTTTTTTTGTTGTGTCTCTGCCAGGGTTTTATGTCAGGATGATACTGGCCTCATAAAATGAGTTAGGGAGAAGTCCCTCCTTTTCAGTTGTTTGGAATATTTTCAGAAGGAATGGTACCAGCTCCTCTTTGTACCTCTAGCAGAATTTGGCTGTGAATCCATCTGGTCCTGGACTTTTAATGGTTGGTAGGCTATTTATTACTGCCTCAATTTCAGAACTTGTTATTGGTCTATTCAAGGATCCTACTTCTTCCTGGTTTAGTCTTGGGAGGGTATGTGTGTCCAGGAATTTATCCATTTCTTCTAGATTTTCTAGTGTATTTGCATAGAGATGTTTATAGTGTTCTCTGATTGTGGGTATTTCTGTGGGGTCAGTGGTGATATCTCCTTTATTATTTTTTATTGTGTCTATTTCATTCTTCTCTCTTTTCCTCTTTATTAGTCTAGCTAGCAGTCTATCTATTTTATTAATTATTTTCAAAAACCCAGCTCCTGGATTGATTGATTTTTTTGAAGGACTTTTCGTATCTCTATCTCCTTCAGTTCCACTGTGATCTTAGTTATTTCTTGTCTTCTGCTAGCTTTTGGATTTGTTTGCTCTTGCTTCTCTAGTTCTTTTAGTTGTGATGTTAGGGTATCGATTTGCAAGAATGTTTCAATACCATAAGTCAATAAATGTGATATATTAAATCAACAGAATGAAGGACAAAAACTGTATTATCATCCCAATGGACAACAGAAAAAAAAGCATTTAATAAAATTCTACATCTCTTCACAATAAAAACTCTCAACAAATGGGGTATAGTAGGAATATACCTTAGCACAATAAAGGCTATATGTGTCAGATCCACAATTAGCATCATTCTGAAAGGAAAAAAGAGAAATCTTTTCCATTAAGTGCTGGAACAAGACAAGGATGCCCACTTTCACCACTCTATTCAATAGAGTACTGGAAGTCCTAGCCAGAGCAATTACGCAAGATAAAGAAATAAAGGACATTCAAATTGGAAAAGAGGAAATCAAAATGTTCCTCTTTACAGAGAGCATGATCTTATATATAGAAAAACATTAAAACTCTACCAAAAAATTCATAGAACTGATAAGGGAAATCAGTAAAGGCACAGGATGCAAATCCACATACAAACAACAGTAGTATTTCTATACACTTAAAAACAAACTAACTGAAAAAGAAACCAAGAAAGTAATCCTATTTACAATAGTTATACAAAAATAACATAATTAGGAATAAATTTAACCAGGAAGGTGAATGATCTCTATGATGAAAACTACAAAATACTGGCGGAAGAAATTGAAGAAGACCCCACTCCCCCAAAAAAAGAAAAGATATCTCATGCTTATGAATGGGATGAATTCATGTTGTAAAAATGATCATACAAATCAAAGTAATCTGCATATTCAATGTAATCTCTATCAAAATACCAATGGCATTCTTCACAGAACTAGCAAAATCAATCATAAAATTTATATGGAACCAAAAAAGTCCCCTAAGAGCCAAAAGTAATCCTGAGCAAAACAAAAGAAAATAAAAACAAAACCATAAAGCTGGAGACATCACACTACCTGACTTCAAAATATATTATAAGCCTATGGTTACCAAAACAGCATGGTATTGGTGTGAAAACAGACACATAAACAAATGGAACATCATAATAGAGAGCCCAGAAATAAACCCATGTATTTACAATCAACTAATTTTCAACAAAGATGCCAAGAACATACATTGGGGAAATGACACACTCTTCACTAAACTGTGCTGGGAAAACTGGATATCCATATGCAGAAGAAAGAAACTAGACCCCTATCTCTCACCACATACAAAAGCCAATTCAAAGTGGATTAAAGACTTAAATGTAAAAACTGAAACTATAAAACTACTAGAAGAAAACATAGGGAAAATGCTCTAAGAAATTGGCATAGCAAAGATTTTATGCCTAAAACCTTAAAAGTACAGATTACAAAAATAAAAATAGACAAATGGGACTTTATCAAACTAAAGAGGCAGTCAATAGAGTGAAGAGACAATCTGCAGAATAGGAGAAAATATTTACA
Organism: Homo sapiens; assembly: GCF_000001405.40. Classification (NCBI taxonomy): domain Eukaryota; kingdom Metazoa; phylum Chordata; class Mammalia; order Primates; family Hominidae; genus Homo; species Homo sapiens. Next base: position 162,923,296 of record NC_000006.12, on the reverse strand, counting down.
AACTATTCATCTGACAAGGGACGAACACCAGAATATGCAAGGAGCTCAAACAAATCAATAGGAAAATAAACTCATCTGACTTTTAGAATGGGCAAAGGATCTGAATAAACATTCCTGAAGAAAAAGGCATACAAATGGCCAGCAAGTATATTTTTTAAATGCTCAGCATCACTAATCATCAGGGAAATGCAAATCAAGACCACAGTGAGATATCTCCCTCTGGTTAGAATGTCTATCATCAATAAGTAAAAAAATAACAAATGCTGGCAAGGATGTGGGAAATGCAAATTAGTACAGCCATTATGAAAACCATTATGGAGGCTTCTCAAAAACTAAAAATAGAATCACCACATGATCCGGCATTCCACTACTAAGTATTTAACCAAAGGAAAGGAAATCAGTATACTGAAAAGATATCTGCATCTCTGTATTTATTGCAGCATATTCACAGTAGCCAAGATATGAAATCAACCTGAATGTCCATCAGCAGATGAATAAAATGTGGTGTACATACACAGCTGGATACTATTCAGCCATAAAAAAAGAATAAAATCCTATTATTCACAGCAACATGGATGAGCCTGGAGGACATTATGCTAAGGGAAATAAGTCATGCACAGAAAGATAAATATCACATGTTCTCATTCATACATAGGAGTTAAAAAAATGAGCTCATAGAAGTAGAGAGTGGAATTGTGGTGACTAGAGGCTGGGAAGGCTGGTGGGGATGGGGGGAAATAAGGAGGGGCTGCTTAAGGGATACCAAATTATAGCTACATAGGAGGAATATGTTCCACTGCACTGCAGGGTGAATTCACAATAATTTATTTTATATTTACAAAAGGTAAAAGAATTTGAATGTTCCTTACACGTGGCAATGATAAATGTCTGAGATGATGGAGATGCTAATTACTCTGGTTTGATCACTGTGTTAGAGTAGACAGACAGCTAGACATGAGCAGGAGGGGGAGCCCCTGAGGAAAGGGAGGTCTGGAGGATCCCACAATCCAGGGACCACCAGAAACAGGCATGCTAGATATGAGCAAGGCGGAGGGGAAATAACATAGGCAGGAAGGAGCAATCCTTAAGACCCCCCAGGCACTGCTCCCTCTGCAGTTAACCTACATGCTGATAAGGCGGAAATTCCTAAGAGACCCCGGGTGCAATTCATATCCAACACCGGCCCACACATGTGCACCAACTCATAGTAAGGGAGGGTCCCACAAGCCTGGAGTGGGGACTAGACGTGGAAAAAGCGGGGACTTAAGGCAGGAGCCAGAAAACTAGACAAGGAAAAATGGCAGAGACTTAAGACAGCGGCGAACTTCAGGAAACAGTTCAACGTCATCAAAACCCAATGCAGAACTCTTGGGGTGAGGGGGGCCTCTGGCTTTCAGCAGTCCGCTCTGCCTCATCTTTCAAAGTGTACTGTGTCTCTAAATAAACTCTCTGCTTTCTGTTTTCCTTCAATTAATTCTCTTTTTTGGCTAAATCAGTCACTTGGCAGACTTCTTTCTCCCAAATAAGACTAAGAAACAGGATTCCCACATGTCTCAGTAATAATTACACATTGTATACACGTGTGGAAATATAACTCTGTATCCAATAAGTGTATACAATTATTACATGTCAACTAAAAGTAAATGGGGGTAGGGGGAAGAATTTGCTTACTTTTCACATGGAGCTTTTCAAAGACACCAATGCCTGGGTCTTACCCCACAGCAAGAGTCAGCCTCTCTGGCGGTGTAGCCCAAGCATCTCCATGTTTCAAAGTTCCCTGGATAATTTTGATGAACAAAAGTGTCAAGAAGAGGAAGCAAAACACCCCCAGAGGTCAGAGAAATGGAGGAAGCCAGAAAACAAATCAGACAGCCTCCGGAGGAAACCAAGATGGATAAGGATATAGTGAGGCTTTCAGTACTGACTTCCTTCTTACACTGACCACAGATATTGGAGGGAATCATGAAGAGGATTTTCCCTACTGCCCTGCCCCACCACCTGGCGGCCCTCACTGCTCCCCCCGGTCTTCTAGCAGGAGATGAGATTGTGCAGGATCCGGCCGCCTCTTCCCTCCCCACTCTGTCTCTCCTGGGTCTACGTGACAAGGCTGGCTGATTTAGCTGCAAAGTTAAAAAAATTTTCTAAGTTTCTCAAGCAATATTTTGTAACAAGAGTTTGTTTATGTAAAAACACATTAACATTCAAGTTTGGTTTGTAGTTCAGCTAATTATTGCAGTTTGTTCCACTGCTTAGTTCAAAAGTCCCTGAGTAGAAATATATATTTCAAATTATCCTCATAAACATAAAATATAATAGATACATTATTTTGGAAATTAACTGTTTTTATGAAAGCCTTAGGCAGATATAATATGAACAGCATTTATTTTCACATTTCCATAGAATTTAAAAATAATAGCATTTGTTCTCCCTATTATCTAGAATGAAAACAAGCTCTAATTTAAACATGAACTAATGAACTCTACCTTCTGTTCAGCTGCCTAAAAACACAATTTTGATAGCCAAATTAGTAGTACTCTACTGAAAGTGACAGAGTGCCTTATTTACTAGTATGTGATAGTGACCTGGTATGTAGCTGATTGCTCAGAGAACTGTACTTAGGAGGCCAAGCTACAATTTTTATACAGTGAAGTGTTAGATTATTCTTTTCCACATTGCATACCCAGTCATCAGGTAAGGGAATGCAGATGGATTAATAAAAATCCACTGGAAAATGCTAGAAATAAAAAACTAAAAAGTAGTGATTTCATCCCTTACACTCATCCATCCATAACTTCTCAAGTCCCATGGAAATCTCTGCCATCACAGAGTTCTCATAATAGACCAGAGGAAGAGGGGAGGTGCTGTGTCTATGGTAAACTGTGGCGTGATTCGATGGGGAGCAATCTTCCAGCTGCTGCTATCAGCCCAATAGAGTGCAGATGCCATAATACAGTATTTTTTAAATTTTCATAGCAATCCTATTGTTTCTTTTGTCAGACAAAAGCATTCAGGCTTCGGGGAGTTTAATTAATTGTGCAAGGTCCTAAAGATAGTAGATACAGAGCACCTCTCTTCCTCTCTCATTCCCTTCCTCCCTCACTTCCTCCTTTCTTTCCTCCCTTCCTCCTTTGTTGCTTTTTCCCTTTCCTCCTCCCATTAGCTCTTCATTCTGTAAATAACAGTGAACACCTTCTATGCGCCAAGATCAATGCTTGGCAAGCGGAATGATGAGATTGTGAGTGAAGAGGGAAAAGTATCAAGAGCTGAGACTGGAAGAGTCCGCTCTGGCCAAGACTACATGGGGGTCAGTGGACCTACTGTGCTCTGGGCATGGCAGAGAGATCATCTTTTTAGAAGATCTAGATATTCACAGATTATTTTAATAAAATAGTTATATGTTTAAATCTTATATATATTTAATATATTGACCCTGTTATACAGCTATTTGTACTACTTACATCATGTAACACATTTTACATTTTAAATGTTTATCATTTTAAATGAATTTTAATGAGTCATATTCACTAGGGTAATACATATACATGAGGTTACATTTTTCTATACAAACCTAATTTAGTAAAATTCAGCACAATGCTTTCATTCAATTAATATTGATTCATTCAACTACAACAGTACTTTGTGGAAGGACTCTCATTTTGAACCCGCAGCCTGACAATATCACAGACCCTTGTCTGTTACATCTGTATCTTTTCTTCCTCTTCCCAGTGCCACCATGGGTTGCTACTTGCCTCTAATAATTGTACTGGCCTCTTAGCTGGGAACTCTACTAGTTTCTATAACTAGATCTATTCCATTTTGCATGGTGCTACGAGAAACGTTTTTCTGGAGCATGGCTCAAATCATTCGTAACAAGAACTTTTGATCCTTTTCTCTTTTGGGGCACTCACTCCCTCCTTTGCTCAGTACCAGGGAAATTAACACCCAACTTCGTATCTGGACCCTGGACATTGGGAATCCCATACTGTCTCTTTGTAGTTCCTTCCCATAAATCACAGGCATGAACTCTACAAACCCACAAAATATTTTCTTAATCAAAAAGATATTGTTTTTCTAGAAGCATACAGTACTATTTTGTCTCCATGAATTTGTTCATGCTATGTTCTTCGTCTAAAATATGCCTCGTAAACTGCTACTTGTTACAACTTTATATTCTAGAAAGCTCATCCCAAATGGTATTTCTTTTGGTAGTGGGAGTGGTCTACCTCTAACTCCTTTCTGCCTTTTGAGCTTCTGTAGGGCTTCATCCCCTCTAGGTCAAGCTGACCCAGTTACTTGTCCTAATCACTCCCTAGTCTCTCTCATCTTTGCAATGGCAGCCTTACACCCCAATCACTACAATATTTTTATTAAATATCAATCAGTTAATATTAAATAACTATTAATTATTACATCAAGTTAGACAACCTATGAACCCAATAAAATTACTCTTTTATAATACAAGAGGGGAACTTAGAAAATGACTTTATATTTGAAATAAAAAAAGAAGACTTTACTTCCTAAGTCATTGGCCAAGCCTGCTTTGGGGTGGCATACTTTTCCAAATTAATCAACTGAACATTTTGTATTATATTCTTCAGTTGCTTAGTAATGAACTAATACATATGTGTTGTAACTTCTTTTGAAACATGATAGTCATTTCATTCTATCCTTTAAAAATCTCTCATTATCATACCTAGAAACACGCACCCCCTTTCTTGAATACCTATGCTCCTCCCCAGCATACTGTTGTTACATTTTTCAGTTTTTGGAATCATTGTGCTGGTGCCAGAAATACCAGAAAACAAAATTGCAGACTGGGCACAGCGCAGCTTCCTGACTGCCAGCAATTGCTCTAACAAGCTAGATTCATGTCTCGTCCTTAAAATTGATGAGAACATAAAATTTCAGAAGTATTTGATTTTCAGTATATCATTATAAATTGGTTTGATATTCATTATTATAGTATAGATAATTATGAGTTCATTTGGTATTCATATGGACGTCACATGCACTTCCAGAGGCGTTATGCTGTAATTTAGTATTAGCTAATGGTCACTAAAAATAAAGTGTTATCACATTTTCTAACAGAACACATTTTAAATGAATTTAATCCAGGAAGCTTAATAGATATTACCTCTGACAATTAGCTTCCTTCTACAACGAGGAGAAAATTGATTTATAATTTATTGAATATTATTATCTTGAACACTGCAGTGGTCTAAAAATGCTATATAGAATCTACTAACAAAATGACAAGGAAAAGTAATAATTTGTCTATGTCTGAAGAGGTTGGTCATTTTAGATAATTTAACTAAGTTAGATGAGCACACAGTTTGCACCTTGTAAACACATTTGCTGTTCACAGAATGGTACATCAGTCTAAAAATGACAAGAATGATGACATAGACATGAGTGAAAGCCTATAAATATAAACATATTTCAGTTTTTCCTTATTTTTCAGAAAATTTTATTCTCTCAAAGCTCTTTTGCTCAACAAATATCATAGTGAGAGAGAGAGGTTAGGCCAAACAGAGGAGATGTGCAGGAGTGGGTGGACAGGATATGAATAATCAGAACTCCGGCAGTGCCACACTTAACAAAAGCCAGATGTCAACCTGGATTTTAAAACAAAAAGACCAAAGATAGCTAAAGAAGATAGATGTACATAATGCTTTCTCTGCTCAAAAATGTGGCTATGGGGTATGCATTCTGATTTAAAATTATATCTGGCTACCTGAACCCAAATCTATCTCTTCTAATTTTTCTCTAAAATGGATATGGAGACAGCTGTCCCCTGACTACAAGGCAGAAGTCCAGAGTGCTGACCCTACTGAACCCTGAGAGCCCTACTTCCTGCAGAAGGTGTTGTATTTTCCAGCCCAGAAGCAGGACCACTTCCTAAGAATGTAAATCTCCCAAAATTTTAGACAGAGTTAGAGATTGGTGGTGGCAAAATGCACTAAGGATGGCCATATTGCTGAGGCTGGAGACCACAGCAGCCACAGTTTGAGTTACCGTGAACTTCACTGCTCCAGGATAAATGCTCCACTTGCATTATTTCAGAATTTCTTCATATTACCTCACTGTATAATGGAGACATTATTGGCCTGAATTTACCAAAGAAGACTCTAAGACAGATTAAGCGAGTTTCTCAAAATAACATGGATAATTGGAGGCCAGCCTTGAACTCAGGCATATGTGAGACTCGAAGCAAAGCTACAGCACAACTTGCAAGGCCCAGACTCCAAAATTAACATACTCTAGGGAAGAGACAAAAAGAAATGTGATCCGGATGTTCCAACTTTTGGGAAAATTAGAAGACCGGACAGTCTGGGGAGAAGAAAGTATCCACCACTAGAAACCGTAAGTTTGGCTGGGAGTGCCACACATTAACCACTGCTGATCTGAGAAAGAATGTGGCCACTAGATCTGTGCACAGGACACTGGGCCAGCTCCATTCATCATTGCGTCTCTTGACTGACACTGACTCTTGTGAGATCTTGCTTTGTTTGAGGATAAGAAACAATTAAAAATGCCACCTGGAGCCAATAAAAAAGAACTACAAACAAGGAGAAGATAGCATCTGGAGTAGACTCAGAGACAGCACAGATTTATGAAATTTGTGTACTTGTATGTTGCAGCACAAAATTTCATGAAACTCAACTCTTTAATGCATCACAATAGAACATGGCTTGTATAAAATAGGATAATGTCATAAGAAAGATGGTTAAGGAAAAAAAGGAAACAGAACAAAATGCAGAAGGTACTGCATAACATAAGAAATGTGAGCTTTAGGTTCCAGAAGGGAAGGAGAAAAAGATTAAAACAGAAAATATATTTGAAGAAATAAGGGACAAAAACTTTCCAAATTTAGTAGAAGTCATAGATTCTAGAATCTCAACATATCACACAGAGGATAACTTCAAAGAAACCATGACCAAACACATCATAGTCCAACTGTTGAAAGCCAATAATAAAGAAGAAATACTTAAAACAGCTAGGAAAAAATACCTTACATCCATAGAAACAATGATTCAAATTATCACAAATTTCTCACCAGAAACTATGAAGGTCATAAGACAGTAGAATAGCATCTTTAGAGTGCTCAAGGATAAGAACTGTCAACTTAGAATTCTATGTTCAATGAAAATATCCTTCAAGAATGAAGTCAAAATGACATTTCCAGATTTAAAAAAAATTAAGAAAATTCATTATCTTATACCTGCTCTACCAGAAATGCTGAAGGAAGTTCTGCAGATGGAAGAAAAATGATACAAGAGGAAACCTGTAACTTCAAGATGAAGGATAAGCAATAGAAATGATTCCTATCTGGGTAATGTAAAAACTGTGCTTTCCTCTTAAGTTCTTTAAATATGTATAGCTCATTAGCACTAAAATTATACCAGTGTCTGTGAAGTTTTCAATGAATACAGATATAGCCCATATCACAACTATAAAATAAAGGTAGGAGGTGGCAAAGAGACCTCTATGGTTCCAAGGTTTCTACATTAGATGTCAAGTGGTACAATAATAACTCCAAGTAGACTGTGAAAGGTTAGGTATATATATTGTAATACATAAAGCAACCACAAAAACAATACAAAAGAATAGCTGATAGCTAAGAGATACATTCACATGCAATACAAACATATTCAAATAATCCTAAAAAGGCAGGAAAGAGAGACAGAGAGAGGAACAGAGCAACAAAAACATGGTACAAAGAGAAAACGCATAATAAAATGACAGATCTAAATCCAACTATATAAAAATATCACAATAGGTATTAATAGTACAAAACAGACACTGTCAAGCTGTAGTCTATAGACCAAAAATGGCCAGGCTCCTGGTGTTTTTTATTATGCTTACAAGCTAGGAATAATTTTGTATTTCTAAATGGTTACATTTTAAATGGTTATATAAATACCTACATAATATCCTTGAATTTGCCTCCTAGGTTGCAAACCTGAACATATTTATTCTGGCCTTTAAAAAAAGTTTGCCTACCCCTGGTCTAAAAAAAAAAAGATTATTTTAATATTGGCAGAAAAATAATTTGACAAAATTAATGCTCATTCATAATTTTTAAAAAGCTAGCAAATTAGGAATAGTAAGAAATTCCTCAAGTAGATAATGGTTATTTATGAAAAACTCATAGCCAATATCATACTTAATGGTGAAAAACTGAATTACTTTCCCTTGAGATGGAGGACAAGGTGAAGAAGATTCACTCTTTCATCAAGTCTATTAAACATTTTACTAAAGTTAAAAAAAGTTAAATATAAGGCAAAAGGATCAGAAAGGATGAAGTAAAACTGTTCCTATCTCAGATATTTTATTGTTTATACAAAAATCTCAAGGAATCTATAGAATTACAACTAGAAATAATATATAATCTGCAAGATGCAAGATTTTTACAAAATTATTTATATTCTTATATACTAGCTGAAAATATTGAAAAATAGAATTCTTAAAACATTTCATTTACATTAATGTCAAGTTATAAAATAGGAAGAAATCTAATAAAAGGTATTTATGACTCTGCACTAAAAAATTACAAAACATTGCTGAGAGAAACTAAGGACCTAAGTAATTGAAAGATATGCCAGAATCATGGATTGGAACTGGTAATTCTCCCCAGGTTGATCTATAGATTCAATGCAATCCTAAACAAAATTCCAGCAGGTTTTTTTTTTTTTGGTAAAAATGGGCAAGTTGATTTTTTAAATTTATAGTCAATGCAAAGGGCTTAGGAAAGCCCAAACAACTAAAAAAAAAAAAAAAAAAAAAACAAAAAAGTACAAAACTTTGAGACCTTATGTACGCTACCTGATTTCAGGACTGGCTATAAAGTTGCAGTTTGAGGTTGGCAAAAGATAAAGAAGTACAGCTCAGACTGTTCAGTCTACTTCTGGACCGTCTATTCTATTCCATATGTATACGGTCAATTTATTTTTGACAAATTATCAAAGCAATTGATGGGGAAAGAATAATCTTTCTAACAAATGATACTGAATCAACTTATATCTGTATGGAAAAAAATAGACAATTTATACCTCATAACACATACACAAACTAACTAAAAATTGATCATAGGACTAGATGTAAACCCTAAAATATAAAACCTGTGACAAACAAAGCATAGGAGATCTTGGAGGAGGCAAACATTTATTAGATTAGCATACCAAAAGTAAAACCATAAAAGAAAAAAATGATAAGCTGGATTTCATCAAAATTAAATACATTTTCTCTTTTGCAGAGCCTTAAGAAAATGGAAAAGCTAACCACTGACTGAGAAAAATTATTTGAAACACATAGACAAAGCATGTTTATAAAATATATAAAGAATGCTTACAACTTAACAATAAAACAATTAACCTAATAAAAATGGACAAAATATTTGAGCAGACACTTCACAAAAGAAGATATATAAGCACACTAAAAAGTACATAAAAAGAAGATATAGAAGCACATTAAAAAGTACACAAAATATGCTCAATATTGTTAGTCATCAAGGACATGCTCAGTCACTGTGTATCCATTAGACTGGCTGAAATTAAAAGGATTGACTATACCAAGTGGTTGGTGAGGATGTAGAGAAACTGAGACTCTCAAACGCTGCTAGTGGAAATATAAAGTGATATAACAGGCTTGGAAATTTACTTGACAATGTCTTAGAAAGGTAAATAAATAGCACTTTCCACGCAACTCAGCCGTTATACTCCTAAGTATTTCCCCAAGAGAAATGAAAACATGTGTCCCAACAAAAAATTGTACATGAATGCTTTTAGTAGCTTTATGTTTAAGATCCCTGAAACTGGAAACAGCTCAAATGCCTACTGACAAGTGAATAGAGAAATCATGCTATTTCTATACAATAAAACACTACTCAGCAATAAAAAAGAATGAACTATTGATACAGGCAACAAGAATGAACATCAAAGGCATACGCTTAGTAACAGCAGCCACATACGTCCCCCACAAACACAGTACATGTTGTATGATTACCTCTATGTAGAAAGCTAGGTCAGTGGTTACCTGGGGACAGAGGAAAGGCTTGGGACCATGGGATGTTGATTATCGTGCTTCCTGAGATGGTTCATGGGTGTATACAGAGGCCAACATTTAGCAGATTGTACACCTTGAATTAGTGTGATTTACCGTATTTCATTTATACTTCAGTGAAGTTGTAAAAATCATAATGTGAACACACAAATAAGCCTAAAGGCTTACATTGGAACAATAGGCATAAATGTTGATATTTTGCCATACTTCTTTAAACATTTTATATACATAAAATTTTATATGAAGTCGAAATATCCTTTGAGCTTATCCCCAATGGTAGCTTTCCAATCCAATTTTGTTTTTTTTTTTTTTGTTTGTTTGTTTTGGATTTTACTACACATGTATTTATAAGAATATAATGTGTGGGCCGGGTGCAGTGGCTCATGCCTGTAATCCCAGCACTTTGGGAAGCCGAGGCAGGCAGATCATGAGGTCAGGAGATCAAGAGCATCCCGGCCAACATTGTGAAACCCCATCTCTACTAAAAAGACAAAAATTAGATGAATGTGGTGGCACGTGCCTGTAATCCCAGCTACTTGGGAGGCTGAGGCAGGAGAATTGCTTGAACCAGGAAGTCAGAGGTTGCACTGAGCTGAGATTGCGCCACTGCACTCCAGCCTGGGTGATAGAGTAAGACTCCATCTCAAAAAAAAAAAAAAAAAGAATATAATATGTGACTTATGTGTTTAACATTTACATGAATGTATCATAGTGTATACAGGAAACTTCACTTACACTTACTACAGTGGCAGAAGTTACAAAGCTGCTACATGCTGGCAAGGATGTGGTGATACCGCAATACTTGTGCACTGCTTCTGGGAGGGTAGAGGACCCTCATTCAAGTTAAGCATACACATGCACCCGAAGACCAGTTGATTCTGCTACTGGATTTAGACCCCTAAGAAGACTTCAAGTTCATAAGAGAGCATATACAAAAAAAGTGCCTTACAGCACTATTAGTGGCAGAAGGGAATTGGAGGCAACCTGGAAGTTGATCACAAGGAAACAGGATAGATTTTTTTAAATGATGGAAATATACTAGGGAGTACTACTCTATAGCAGGCATTAGCAACAGACAAAATATACTTCTAACAACTTGGATTGACCTTGTGGCTGGACATACTCAGTTTTCCTTTCCAGATCCTCTGTGCTCTCTGCTATGAGAAAGTAACCTGTATGGTCAACACCAATGGACCCCAGTGTCTTCTGGCCACCATTTTGTTTGGCCAGTGAGGGACTTTGGCAGAAGAGCGGAAGTAGAGAGGAGAGACTGGAAAGAGGAATTTGTTTCCCAGGCTCCCTCTCTGCCAGGTTTTCTCAATTATAGGTTACTTCTCTTCTGAAGGCAACTTTTTCTACAGGACTTTCAGAGTTAAGGAATCTTTCCCTCCTATCATCCTTTTGGGCCTAGCAGTGTCCAAAGCTCAGCTGCCACTAGCCCTAGGTCACAGCATTATCACTTGGTTTACCCTCTCCCTACACCTTTGAAAATCTTTGTAAATAAACCCTCTTTGAATGAATTATCCTGAATTTGGGTAGAGAGCAATTTGCCAGTAACAAGTAAATCTAAAGATGGGCATTTACTATAACACAGACCCTCTACTTCTGGTTATAAACCTAGAGAATTGTCATGCATGTGCCCCAGGGGAGACCTACAAAGTTGTTCACTGCATATCTATCTATATATCCATATCTATATTCTGTAAGTATCCTAAATGCAGTAGCTATTTCACTCAATATATTTTTCAAAAACATTGGAAAAGATACTACCAATTAAATAACTTCAGTTAAGTAACTTCAGGCCATTGGCCCAGAACATTGCATTTATTTTTGGTAATAGGAGGTAGAAAATCCATAGTTTCTAAAGTCTGAGTAAGAATTATTTTCAGAAGAGAAGAAAATCTCACACACTTGTACTTTCAAAACACTTGTGGTAAAATTGTACATGTACCTGAGTGGTACAATCTTCCATCTATAAACAACAGAGCACAATTTATTGTGCTTGATCACATTATAATGCAGCTGTGCTTCATGCAAAGCAGAAATAAATGAATGTAAAATGAAGCTGTTTGCTTAAAATAACTTAGTTCTTGATTTTAATTGTCTAAGTTAATGAAAACAAATTGATATCGATGCAGATGCGCATCATGACTTAGAACATATATCAAATATCCTACTCAACAATTGTCTAATATTCTCCTAATGCTTCTTAGTATACCAGAGTTTGTTCAATTGTCCTTTAATACAAAGTCTACTTTCATGACTTTGGGATGGTAAATGAGTTATATATAATCCTCAGAATCACTGTAGCCAGCAGCATCTGTGGAGAGCCGGAAGGTGAGAAAGTTGCTTTAACTTTTGGTTTGATTCATTTTTCCTCCTTTCTAAGTGGGCTCTCTGAACTAATCTGCAGAGAAAATTATGGGCAATGAACTGCTACTGCTTCCATGTTGCCCTCTTAGAGTTTTGGAGACCCCACTGCCTCTATTTAGGTAATCTGACACACAAGAATGGAGAAGAGAATCCATTTAACTACATCCTGAACAAATTCATCCTGAATAAACTTCTGCCATTTTGAGCTATTTACAATTTGAATGTATCTTGTTTTGTTTTGGGGAAAATTGCTAATATCTACACAAATAGAAAGGTTTAATATAATGGTTTTTGTGGTTTTTTTTCAATTCAAATGAAAATGTTGGCATTTATTTCTCAACTATCTATGTTCAACTATCTGAAGGTATAAACAATACAGCTTAGCAGTAGTGAGCACAATTATAGCAATATCTCAAAGCTACATGGTTCATGTTACAATCTTATACAGAAAGTAATCATTAGGACAAAAATTAGCTAAGGGAAGGAAAATATTTCCCTGTATCCTTCTTCCAGCCAGTAAGAACCAATTGTGAAATCTCAGTGCAGCTGAAACTGTGAGGGCTTTAGCATCAGATAATCTTTAATTAGAATAGTAGCTCCCCATTTTAGAACCCGTGTGACCTTGAGGAAGTTATTTAAGCATTCTGAGTCTCAGTTCACTTACCTAAGAAATAAGAATAATTATGTTTATGACAGAGTTGGTGAAGATTAAAGAAGTAAACACTTAGCAAAGTGGAAACTATTACCACTATCTTTTTACATATGAGAAAACAGAGGCACAGAAGGTTAGGTGCTTTGCCCACAGTTACACAACTGGTAAGTGAAGACGCAAGAATCTGAGCCCAGGCATTCTAGCTCTAAAGCTTACACTGATTTTAACACTATACATACTGACACTCAAGTGCTTCTTCATATACGTGTTTGCAGAGAGCAAAGAGGAAATTATTCTAGTGTAAAACCGATTCAAATCTACTAATTTGTTCATGCATTCCTTCCTTCATTCATCAACCATTCATTCAATCCCCATCATGTGCCAATCACTGTACCAGGTATTGGGGGATAATTCATGGAGGATAATTCAGATAATTCATGGCCCTTACTCTTAAGAAGTTCTGTTTAATGGCCAATAACCCCACCATCAAATATTATAATGCAGTGTGACAAATGCTAATGATACTCGTGTGCCAGATACTGTGGACATGTAGAAAATACATATCTAAATCTGTCTGGGAAGGGGTAGGAAGTGGGGACAAGGAAATTTCAAGAAAGAAATGCTTAAGGATGATTTTTTTTTTTTTTTTTTTTTTGAGATGGAGTCTCGCTCTGTCACCCAGGCTGGAGTGCAGTGGCGCGATCTTGGCTCACTGCAAGCTCCGCCTCCTGGGTTCACGCCATTCTCCTGCCTCAGCCTCCCAAGTAGCTGGGACTACAGGTGCCCTCCACCACGCCTGGCTAATTTTTTGTATTTTTAGTAGAGATGAGGTTTCACCGTGTTAGCCAGGATGGTCTCGATCTCCTGACCTCTTGATTCGCCCACGTCGGCCTCCCAAAGTGCTGGGATTACAGGCATGAGCCCCCGCGCCTGGCCAAGGATGATTTTTAAATGATGCATAAAGACAACGGTATGGAAGGACTTCCAGACGGAAATAACTTGGGAAAAGCCTTTGTTATGAGAAAGAGTAAGGCTTGTGAAGTGGAAAGTAGTACCTGAAAGAGTATGATCATTTGTTAGAATTGCAAAGAGTTCATGTGGTTGGATTCAGCAGTGATGGGAGATGAGACTAAAGCAGGAAAAGGAAGAAGTTAGGTCAAGAGGAGTCGTGTATACTACACAGTTTGTACTGCATCTTGCCCTCTTGAGAGAAGAGTAGCATTTCGAGATTTTGTTCTAGAGGGGTCACTCTGGCAGCCATGGACATGACTGCTTGCTCCTGAGAAGAGCAGAGACATGGAATGACAGTCCAATAATTTGATATGCCCACCCAGCTTCCATCTCCCTGTGCTGTACTAATGGTGCCATGCTTCCTGTGGAGATCCATCCCATATTGTTAAGTCAGGCTGATGGCCTAGCCACTGCCACAGCCAAGCAGTGGGCCCCTGATTCTGGCTAATCCAAGTATGCCATGCCCCTGTCCATAATGACTGGATCCTGAAGGTTTATGAAACCCAAGACTGGCTAATCAAAACTTATTTCAGCTCATTTCTGCCAGCTATTGGGGAAAATGGCCTATCTCTACTGTGGTTACAGAACCTGAAAAGAGCAGAGACATGGAATGTCTCGGAATGGCCTGTCTCTACTGAGGTTGTAGAATGTGGGTCTTCAGCTGCAGGGCCATATCATGTGCTATTTGGTGGAGAGCCTACTGAGTGATGCATTGTGATAAAATGGATTATAGCCTCTGGAATAGGCCATGCCTGAAGGCAGTACACCACTGGGCTTCTGTATGTGTGCCAATGGATTTCCTGTTTTGTGCTTAGGCTAGGTTGGGCTTCTTTAAGATGCAACCTAAAGAGTCCTAAACACGATTATGATAATCCAGTTTTGCAGAAATGCATGCTTTTGAAATGAGAGATATCCACTACTTAGCAGGTATGTATGTGAATTAAGACAACTTGGCTGAAGTTTGAGTTTCAAAACCAAACATTAATGTAGTCTTTTTATTGTTTCTGTATAAAGAGTTATAATTTATTCAATAGGAAAAGTGTAAAATTGGTATATGACTTTATGTAAGTATTAATATATGCCTATGACTTAAAAATCACAAGACAGTGACATCTGGTGGTTACATACCCAAATTGCAGTTTCAATTTATTTGAGAGGCGTATGTATAACTCTCAAAATTTGCAGGAAATGTCACTTGGTTGTCCTTTTGTTGCAATATCACAGCTCTTAGGTTTTCAAGGCATATGAGATTTCAGTCACTGAAATTATATGGCAAATACCTTGAAGATGGCAGTGTCATAAGTGTCATAAGTCTGGTCCTTAAGATTCAGCTACATAAATTCTGAAAGATAGAGGGAACTCTCAAATCACTAGTTTGCTATGAGGACAGACGTACCCTGAAGACTTTAGGACTTGCTTTCAAAATATGTTTTATAGCTTCCATAGTATTTATGAGTCTATTTCAAGTGTAAACGCATTTTTTAAGAAATAATATATATAAAATAATGTAGCTCTTTTTATGTGTGAATCTTTCTTAAGAGTCTTAAGAAAGAGTCACGCATACTTCATAGGTCTTTATGTTATTTGAGGTTGTAGATTAAAATAAATGAAATCATCCTTTTCTCTATTAAGTTATGCTTGATGAAGTCACACCAGAAAAACCTGCCTGCTGAGGACTAAAATCTAATGGCTAAATGTGTAGGAAGCATTTTTCTACTCTCTTCCCTTCCCCTTACCCAGAAGTCTTTTCAAATGATCCTAGGAATTAATTTTCAGATCATGTAAAAAATATTAGAAATGCCCAATTGAAAGAAAAATTGTTTAATTTCAATTTTTCCTTATGAATGAGTTCAGATATCCACCTACTAAATACATAAAATAGGCATGTATTGATAATATTTACAAATAAACTACTGAATCTAAGCCATTTTTAAACTATAGAACAGGGAGCAGCCGTATTTTAAAGCTGCAACATTTAAAGGGCAAAATTTCCATAAACAAGTTCATATTTTCCAGGACAAAATGTCTGGAATAAAAAAAAGATCTGATACATGCAAATCATTCATATAAAGAACTCATGGTATATGAACAAAATGCTTTTCAATAATGACACTTAGTTTGATTTGTGTAGATTTTTAATTTAAGGCTTCTGCTTAAGATGCATTTCATAGAGTATTAACTTTCAATACCCTAGCAACCTTAGCTCCTCACACTGATGAAGCCCACATTTGAGTATAATTTGCATTTCTCCACATTTAAATATTTTCCTAAAACTCACTGGTTTTCATATGCACTATATTCCAGAACTTATTCCACATTTCCCATAACATGAACATCTCTCTGATATACAAGGTATACGATCATTGTTTTCAGTGAAATTTTCTGTGAGGTACAGAGATTTGAATGAAAGCTAGTAATGGATGTTGAGTCTATTCTTTAGCAATATGTCAGTTCCCTAAAGAAATCCCACAGGCAGAGGCATAAAGATCTTCAATACTTGTAACGTCTTTTGAGATGCCTGTAGTATTGATGTACAGGTAAACACCACGGAAGAAAGAGCTGTCATCACCTGCACATGAAGAAGATCGTGAGAAAACTCCATCAAAGGCATATTCATCAGTGCTTGATCTATGCCTGTCGTGATCACCAATATTAAGTTTTCTGTCAACATTGGTGATAACTATATTTCCCAAATGTACTTAACTCAAATTAGACGGTTGTTTGAAATACGGTCTGGCATTTAAAATTGTTTTGGAAGCACTATTCTCTACTGATTATTTAGTTTTTACCAAGAAAAGAAAATTTCCTTCCAGTGTCAAAGAAATTTCTAAAACTCTAAAAATGCTCATCACAAGGAGAGACAAATACTATTACCTTTACAGAAGATTTTATTTCAGAGGAAGAGGATTGACTTAAAGGAGAAAGAGCTTTGCATTAAATTGACATTTACATGTTTCCTATTTTGAAATACTTATTTTGGATCAAGGTAGACTTATACAAAGTAATTATTTTAATTCCTTTTTTTGGAACACACACAAAAAATCATTATTAAAATTCAAGATGAATAATTAATACATCTCCATGAAGAAGACAATAGTAAAAAATTTGAAAACCTTGCCGCAGTTGGAATCAATTTTTCCTCAGCTTTCCCCCCCTTTTTTTCTGTATCAAAATCTTAACAAATTCTAACTTCGATAGGAAAACCATATAAACCAGGAATTGCAAAATGGCTCCCATGCTGCATTTTCTTCCTATAGTCCTCGTGGTTAGGGAGACCACGGGTTCTAGTTTGCTGGGGACAGTTCTGGTTCATGCCTGCTGTCTCTGCATGAGGAATAACCACCATTTCACTCTCCATTGGACTGGTTTGGACATTAGATACATGCCTTACTCATACTAAACACTGAAAACCAAAGTGGCTTCAGATAGAGTGCTTCGGGCAGCTCCCACCAATCCACCACAGCTCAACATTAATTGGAAGCTAAATTAGGTGCATGGCTATATAAATAAAATTAAAGGGAAAGTGAAAAGATGGAAATGTTTATTACATTAAAGTGTTCTTTTTCCCTGTCTCCCTCTCTCCCTTTCCACAAAACTGTAGTAGAAACAGCAAAGTAGCAGACGTCAGAAGGTTTGGGTTTTGGTCCTCCTGACTGTCTCTCTCGGCTTCAATCTCTTTATTTTTGAAATTAAAGGGTGGAATTAGACGAGCTGCGGGATTCTTTCCAGCTCCCACTTAGTGACTGTAAATGCTGCCAGTCTGGTCAGCAAACAGAAACGGTTTCTCCCTTTTAAAATTGGTAAGCTTATTTTACTGGCAATAAGCTAAAGCACTGTCTCATAATTATTATTACCTTCAGAAAGCATCCTTTCCATCTTCAGTTCCCTTCCCACTCCATTCACACAGATGACAGGTGATAGTACAGGCAGCTCTCCTGAGCCCTAAATGCTCATGGTGCTTCTTAAACATCTCCTCCCAAGCCTAATGCATCCTCAACTGAATGACTATCTTACCTCTTGCAGACATTTCCTTCTCCAGTCCTCCTGCGTCAGGCAACGAGGCCACCACCACCTTGTTGCTCCAATGTAGGCAAGGCTTACAGGGGACCAGGAGGCTTTTCCTGATGCCCAATTCATGAATTCCCCCTGTCTCTCTTCTCATCTCTGTCTCTGTCCCAGGCATTGTGCCCTTTCAACTCCATGTATAGTCCTTGCTCTTTCATTCCCATACTTCCCTTGGACTAGATCACTCTTCCCCTCCCAGCTAACTCATCCTCACCTTCGGGGGTTGCATCACAAATGCATTTCCTCAAAGAAGCCTAATCTTCACCCAAAGATAGTCGGCCACTCCTGCATTATTCTCATGCCATATCATCTCCTTACTCTTTTGTAAGCTTTTTTCCTTGTCATTTATCATTCAATGTTGCTTATTCCACTAAACAGGTCAGGCACTGGGTTTCTCTTGCTCACTACTTTAATCTCAATGCCTAACATTTCCATAAAGGTAAAATGCAGGCACTAAAACACTGGTGAAAAAATGACTGAATGGATTTCTGAACGTCATTTAACATGTAAGCTGCATCCTAACCTTAAGTATTAATAGGTTTCTAAAAGTCTTCTTCATTCATCAAGAGTCTTAGTTGCTCAAGCAAGAGAGGGAATTCCAGGGTTGAGTTGGGCGGCAGCACGGCTGTATCCAGGAATCGGACACTGCCACCAGGATGGCCTCCCTCGCTCCCTCACTCCACGTGCTCCCAGGTCAGCTGCATTCTCTAGCAGGCCCTTCAACCAGCAGGGGCTGTTCCCCGACTTGAGAGAAAATGCCCAGTGGTTTTCCTGAGTCTGTGTGAGTTTCACAGAAGGGCCCTGTGGGACTCACTGGCTGCAATGGTTACTTTTATTTGTTGCTGTGGCTGCGCCATGTTGCCCAGCTGTTGCGTCATTCATGTAGATGTTTCTGTGAAGGTATTCTGTAGATGTCATTAACACTTAAAATCAGTTGACTTTATGTAAAGGAAATTACCCTCCCTATATAGCCTCATCTGGCTGGGTGAAAACCTTCAGAGGAAAAGCTGAGGTTCTGAAGGAGGAGGAAGGAATCTAGCTTCAAGGCTGTAACATAGAACCCTTGCCTGAGTTTCCTGCCTATCAGTCTGCCCTGCGGATTTCGGACTCAAGAGTGCAGCATCAACACTTATTTCCAGGCTGCTGGCCTGCCCTGTGGATTTCAGACTCGCCAGCCCCTGCAATCACACAAGTCAATTCCCTAAGATAAATCTCCCTATTATGTGTTAACCTATTGGTTCTGTTTCTCTGGAATGTCCCAACTGATACAGGGGCCCACCCTGAGGCAGGGTGAATGTAGTCTTTGGTTGACAAACCCCTCACGATCACATAAAGGGGTATTTGGGGGCAGTTTCCCAAATTAAGAGAAGTAGGCAGACAAAAAAGTAAGAGACAGTCATAAGTATATATTCCCTGATACGGTTTGGCTGTGTCTCCACCCGAATCTCATCTTCAATTGCTCCCATAATTTCCACATGTTGAGGGAGGGACCCAGTGGGAGATAACTGACTCATGGGGGCAGTTTCCCCCATACTGTTCTTGTGGTAGTGAATCAGTCTCATGAGATCTGATGGTTTTATAAGGGGAAACCCCTTTCACTTGGTTCTCATTCTCTCTTGCCTGCCGCCATGTAAGATGTGTCTTTCACCTTCTGCCATGATTGTGAGGCCTCCCCAGCCACATGGAACTGTGAGTCCATTAAACCTCTTTTTCTTTATAAATTACCCAGTCTTGGGTATGTATATATCAGCAGCGTGAAAACAGACTAATACATTCCCCAATATTAAAAACTTGGGTATTTAAATTATTAACATATTATTATTTTTCCCCTAGAGAAAAATATATTCCCAAATATCTCCCATCCTCCTTTCCTGAAGCTTCTTGAAGACAAAGTGACAGTTCTCACCTGCACAGTCAGATGGTCGGGGGTGGGTCTGATTCTAGTATTACTACCTAAAACCTGACAACAAACTGTAGTATGGGAGAAAAATTCACCTTAATCTGATTCCAATTTTATCAGGACCTAGCTAACCTTTAGTTTTCCTTTAATTAAAAGGTAGCAACAATAAAACATTCCAGCTTTGGATCTTTAAAACCCAGACATAGTTCAATCTAAGTGCTTTACTCCAACAGCTGGGAAGGATTAACAGTAAGGTATATTATTATAGCAGAAAAACAGAAGTTGTAAAAATGATCAGATGATAAATATATTATCTTCTTGTCTTGGATTATGGTTGTTAAAATGCTTTTGGAATTGAAGAAAAAAAGCCCAAAGGGCAGCATTTGTTATGGGGTCAAATTGATAAGAGGAATACTTTATTTCCTTTTTGGGAGATTCAGAAGAAAATAATTTGGCCAAATACTAAACTATAGGATGATTTTTGTCTAAAAAATTGATCTGAAAACTCAAGCAAAACCAGACTACATTTTACCTTTATTGTTAACAATTACAACGTCTCTACCTGAAAACCGCACTCTGAAGATAAAATTGACTTAAGTATTCTGTATACATCTTCTTGTTTTGCTTTTCTTTTGATATATTGTCGGGATAGCAAGCCCTGAGTGTTTTAATAAGATGGGATAATGGCCTATCAGTTCACTGGGCATAACTACAAAGTGATAAATTAGAACTAGACAGGAAAAACATTTTGTTTCTTAAAAGTAAAAATATAATGTAGAATGTTATGCACTGTGTGTATGCTTGAAATTTCTGCAGTCATTCATAGAAAGTAAACTATAGTATTTTAAGGCTACTTAAAGGTATATCATCAGCCATATATTTAAGACAAAACAGTAAAAGGTTTACAAGCCACTCAAATTACTCTTTAGAGCATCCAAATGGATTGCTTCCTACTTAACAGTTATTTTCTTTGTAAATGCAAAGCTATAATCACATGTAAAACACTGATCATGCATATGTAGAATAAACATAATACATTTCTAAAATATTCTGAAAAGATCTTCAAAATGTCAGAACCCATACTTATCACATTTGCAAAGGCTGAAATATTTAGCATGCAACGTGTGAAACCATAGAGTAAGAATCTTCTTGTCAAAACAAACAAAAAACGATTAAGAAGAAGAGATTTGGTATTGTAATCTGCATGTACGCATGGACACACACAGGCCACATTCCCATCAGGCAATACGCCTGGGCATTGTTCTTTACTATGCCCAACACAGCCAATATATCCAATAGGCATTTGTCACCAAGTAATGACCTTGGAAGGAACTGTAATTACCTTAGCGATCCTGCCATTGTGGCAAATATTTTTTTGGTGCACTCTTTTATAATTATTTTCAGAGCTTTTAACTTGTTCTTTCAAATTAGTGGAGGTACATCTTTACCCGCTAGGAATGGATTTAAAGCAGAAGTTTTTTAAACTGAAATCTAACAAATAAAGTGTTTAACAAATTTGCACAACTTCCTGTTACATGACTCTCCAGGAAATTCTAGAATAAGCACTTTAAAGACTCCCTGAGCAAAGGCGGTGCCACAGGATTTGAATACGTTGTTTTTGAGGTTGTTGATCTCTATCTCATTTTTAAATTTAAAAACTGTAAGTGTTTAGCTTACTCTTTGAAAACAAGTATTAGGATACAGCTAAACAATCGAGTCCATTTTCCTAGTAACCTCACCTTTATCTATGTATCATCCTGGAACAGTACATGCCTTAGAGAAAGTCACTGCACCCAACTTCTAAGAGACAATCAGGATTGAAAGAAACCTTAAAAGCCACTTATTACAAGCAGCTATGAATCTCCTTTACATCATCTCTTCCCAGAAGCTACCTGTCTATTTGGGAAAAACTGTAGTAAGAGGCTCATCACCTTCCCAAAAAGGCTATTACATCTTTGAACACTCTACCTGGTAGGAAGTTCTTCCTTAAATTGCACCAATATATACCTGCTTCGGCTCCCACTCTTAGTCGGTTCCATCTCCTAGAGCCGATGTAGCCCAGGGTAAATCCCTCTTCTTTATGACAGTCCTCTAAATACCAGAAAATGGATGTCTTATCTCTCCTGGTCTTTTATGTGCCAGGTTAAATTGTTTGTATTATGTATCTGTATATTATATATTCATTCATTTGATTAAAAATTAATGAGACTATAATACTCACCAAGGCTATGTTCTAATCATGAGAGATGCTGAAGCAAATAAGATAGACGGGATGCGTAGTTGAAGAATTCTAGTCAGGGAGATAGAGTATGAGCAAACAAAAAGATACTTTCAGCTCATGATAAGTCTTTTGAATAAAATAAACAAGGTAATAGAACTGAGGAAAATCAAGGGTTTAAAAACAGGCTCTCAGGAGATGCAACATTTGAGCCAAATCCGATGGCTGAGAAGGAGCCAGCCACAGGAAAGGCGCTGGGGCAGAAAGAAAAGCAAACAGCAAGTCCCGGAGGCAGCAGAGCGCTTGGCACGCTTGGGGGATGGCGGGGAAGCCGGTGTGTTTGGAGCCTGAGGAATAAGAAAGACGGCAAGAGATGAGCTTAGAGTGGCAGCTCGGGGGCCCTCACACCAGCCAAGGAGTGAGGAAAGAGGAAATGCAGAGAAAGAGATGCCGTGGAAGCCAAAAGAAGTTTGAAGAAAGAATGGGCCATGGTTCCAAATGCTCTTCCTGCAGGTGGTAAGATTGTTCACATGAGACTATCTGAAGTATCCATAGACCCATACATTCTCATTGAAACGTAAGTTCATTGAAGACGGGAGTTGAGTCTTGCACGCTATCACGTCTCCTTGTAGGAATCACCTAGGAATCACAGGTTGAAGAAGTGAGGGTAGAATGGGGACGGATATGGAAAGTTTGAGGCAAGAAGAGATGGAGTAAAATTGATGTCTCAGGGCGAGGGAACGTCGGCCTCTGTAAGCAGAGGCCAGCCCTGCCAGGTCCTGCTGCGTGACATCCGTGAGCATTGTGAGTGCATATGTGCGTGTTGGTTCCTTTACCGATCCTCCCTGGATACCAGCGCATCAGTTCTCGAGGGTGCATTACGATGTTCCGGCCTGACCATGCTCTGATACCAGAGCATCAGTTCTCGAGGGAGCATTACGATGTTCCGGTCTGACCATAAGGAACTGGCTCTCTCTCCCCCGCCCTTCCCCACAGCCAGACCCTTTTGCTCCCTGCAGCTCCCTGACCTTCCCCTCATCCTCTGCATGCACAGCGGTGACGGTGACGGGTGCAGACCCAAAGCCAGGAGTCCTGGCCTTCCCTCTTCCTTGCGCTCAGACCTGGAACAGGTTATTTCATTTCCAGCTTCAGTTTCCTCTCCTGTAAGATGGGGCTAATGAAAGTAAATACCTCAATAAACGTAAGCTGCTTTTTCTTATCCTCCCCGGGGCAACAAGGTTTCACAATGTGAATATCTTAATATTACTCGTATCCAGTGATTTCTTGCCATGCCAAGTGACTCCTGTAGCTCAGGCCCTCATTACATTTCATCTGCATATTGTCTTCTCAGTGTTTAGGGCTCTAAAGCTCTCAGCCTCACCCTGGCTGGGAGGAAGACCTTCCTTACAGAGAGGACGGCAGGAGCCAGGGCAGAGGTGAAGAGAGGATGGAAGGACAGCTTCCTGCCCGGTGCTTCCCGAATGCCTACCTGCACACAGTCCTCAGTGGGGGTGAATAAAACACAAACTCACTCAGAAGGTCCGGCACGGGCTTGGAGATCTTGCAATTTTGACAGCTCCTAGGTGGTGCCGAAGCGGTAGCCACACAGATCCTAGAAAGGTGAGACGTCCTCTGGGCCCTGACTCATTCCTGGGAGGCTGCTTTCCCCCCGTGGTTTCTGGTTGTTACCAAGCCTCATCTATGCCAGCTCTCCTGTCTTCACACTGCCTGGTGAGAGTGTACTGCATCTCCCTCTAACCTCCTCTTTCTCCCCTGGCACACCACCTGGCCACTACCAGCAAATTGTCATTAATTTTCAAAAATTTACACAGGGCTGTGACAGCCAAAGAATTGCAAAACCCCTCAGCACACAAAAAGAAGTATCTAGAGACTTACTCAAGCCCTCATCTCCCAGAGTTGGTGTACTACAATATAACCTTGATAGCTCTTTGTCCTAGGATATAACCACCCTCGGAATTAAACAGGTATTTATATTTAACACCTGGTGAAATTTAAACTCACTTTCTTTGGTTTATAAGTGTTCATATTAGACATCAGTTAAATAATGTGTCTAGATACTAAATAATGAAATAGGGACATTACCCAAACTTCTATTTTCCCTGTAATATTTTATCAAGATTTGGTGGATTTAGACAGTAATTCCAAATCTCTGAAACAAAACAAAATTTTAATCACAATTTTTAGTTCAAAATTACTTTAGGCATCAATAAAGTAAAACGAAGACCATAACGATAATAGCTAATATTTATTGTGTGCTTCCTAAGTGACAGACACTCTTTAAGTCCTGTATTTGTGTGAACTCATTTAATTCTTACAATATCCCTGTGAGGTAGGTTCTATGATTATCCTCACTTGCAGATGAAAAAATAGACACAGAGAGATTAAGCAACTTGCCCAAGGTCACACAGCTGATAACAGATAGATCCAGGATTGAACTCAGGGAATATCGCTCCAGAGCCTGTGTTCATAATCACCACAGCACTTCCATTGTGTGAAAATTTCTGAAAGGCTATATGTATTTAGGCATTATTTTTCCTTTACTAAAATATTTTACCATAACAATATCCAGTCCTGTGGTGCATTCCGGTAGACAAGGTATATTCTTACATAGAATCTCACTTCAGTGTAAAGGCTGGTGCGCGCAGAGACTCAGGCTGCCCCA
Organism: Homo sapiens; assembly: GCF_000001405.40. Taxonomy (NCBI): domain Eukaryota; kingdom Metazoa; phylum Chordata; class Mammalia; order Primates; family Hominidae; genus Homo; species Homo sapiens. The sequence goes on along the minus strand of NC_000006.12, from coordinate 162,898,332 downwards.
GTCTCTCAGGACATACTCAAGGAGTTCAACCTACGCTTGGGACTCTTCAGTGCTTCTTCCACTACAGCAACCCACTCAGCAGAGAGGAGATTCCGCTTAGCACCATCTGTCTTCATTATCTGTGAGCAGCTCCACACTGTGCTCGCGGCTGAGGCTACACTGGTGAAGAACAGACAGGCCCTATCCTGTAGCTGCCTACAGTTCAGTGGTCCTACTTTCATCAGAAACCTAGTCTTAGGAGGGCAAAACTTCACTCTCTTTCCAGAACGTTCTGCACTGCTTCTCCTGGAGAGTTGGGAAAGTGTCTGTGAATGTAGACATGGACAGGGGAACGTGGAGCTAGCTTCAGGGCTCTTCCTGCCTCTGCAGATTCCTTCACATCAGGGTGACCACCTCGTTCTGGCTTCCATGGGACTCCCCCATTGCAGCATGAAAGCCCTGAGTGCCCTGCCTCCCGCAGAAGCACCAGCCTTGACGACGCATCCCAGAATGGTCCAGGGCTAAACCCTTTCTGCAGCCTGAAGCTTATAGGACCAGAAGTCCGTGCATGCCAACAAACTATACACCCCACTCACTAATACAGCACTGGTGCTCAGCGTGAAATGAAGAAATTCCCTGATAACAGATACACAGAATAGTTGAAGGTAAGACCCTAAATGGCTACAGACCTCTCCAGCACCTCAGTGTAACGTTACCAAGATGGCAACCAGAAGCGATTATCAAATGAAACCACATCCTTTGCATTTAATGGAACATAGGTGTGTAAATCTTGGTATGAACAGCTTTTCTTACGTATACACATTCATTTCTGGATAAATTCACTGTCTACTCCCTGGAGGAATAAATCTCTATACCAGCTGGGATCGCATTACCTCACCTATCAATGAGACTTCAGTTCTGGAAAGAACGCATCAGGCACAGGTACTTGATGAGTGCAAATTCCTCAGGCTTGAGGCTTGCACAATTGGGGGTGCTCTTTGAAAAAAGAATACGAAACTATGACTATCATTTTATAAAGAAAAAAGCAGAAAGATAATCCAGTCTTTCCAGCAGCATAGTTGATCTAAATTTCTCTTTTAGTACTGAAGTTTGAAAAAGTTACTTTCAGCTTCATGACTTGTTGTTGGTTATATCATGCACATTTTTTGGGGAATTCCAAATTTCTCTCACATGCAAGCAATAAGAATACTAGGTTTTTCAAGTTTTGTTGCCCAGGAACTAATCTTAAACTCTCTTTGAATTGCTGACACTCATTAACAAGTTTATCGTTAGTTCCTTGTTGTAGGGGCTCATTGGCAGATTAGATCAGATTATATTCATTGATGTCAGAACTTTTGTCAAGGAAGCAAGAAATTCAAGTATTTTCCCAATGGGTTCGTATGCACCACTTCTCTTCATTAATTAAGTTGTCTAATAACCTGAGAGCCTATTCATTACTTCTATTTAAAATGTATTTCCTTCTCATAATAAATTATTGGTTTTGGAATGACACATGTGCTGTTTGGACCTGCCAGATGGCTTTGAAACAAAATAATCAAATATACTAAGACCTGTTCCAATATATTAAAAGGCATAAGACATTCACCTTCACACACAGACCGCTTGCTTACTAAATTGCTACAGATTGTGTCATACAAAGGAAAAAATTCTGATACATGTTTCATATAATTCACATGAAAAAATAAATGAACACATGGATACGTTTATAATATACCCTGCATTATTGATGAGAACACAACCTTCCTATCATAGTTTTCCCAGGTAGCCTATACATTTTATAATTCTTACACATCCAAGATTTTACCACGGATTTGCCTGTGACTCCAGACATTTCCAATCTTGTTTCTCCTCTACCACCCTCGTGGGTCTGCTGCCAGCACCGTGGGATGCGTTCTTACGGAGAAATTATCCCTGGACCTTCACATAATAACTCCTGGTAAGTCAGCACAGTCCGCAGTAAGCGTGAACCACAAAATGTGTCATTCTAAACTCATACTCAATGTCTTTCCAAATCAATGTTCCCCCAGCTAGATCCCGAAGCTGCCAAGCCCCACTCCAATTCCTCTAAACAGCAGGAGAATGTGCTGGAGTGAAGTCAGGGTAGAAAGAGGCAGCAGTAACAAAGGACTGTGGCCAAACGATCTCACGTTTGTGAATTTTACAAGAACACATGGCCATGTGACCACCCTGCCTAGGCCCCTCTCAGGGCTGAGGAAGGTGTGGTGGCAATCAGTGATCCTTTCGGCTTCATGGTCAATCCTTCTCTACACAGGCCTGATCTAAGGCTGCTGGGAGCAATCAAGCTTTTGATGACTATTTTTTTAATACACTCTGTAGAATCTGTGTTGATCATGAACAATATTATTCTGTAAAAGAAGAAAAAAGCCTGGCTGAAACATTCAGCTATCTTCACAGTAAACACTACAAAGAAAAAGTTACAAATAATAGAAACTGTTCGACTTGGGCAAAGGGAGCAGTGAATTCACCGAGGAGGTGACCAGAACACCAGCAGTGTAAAGTAAATGTTCTTAGAGCTTGTGGTATCCTGTGAGTAATAATCAGATAACTCCAATTAAGACTGTTGGATGCTCTCTGTGCAGTTATTGCTAAGGTTTCAGACATAAGTAAATTGCTATTCATATGTAAAAAGTATTGCAGGTTTTATTTTCAAATTGTACAGGTCTTAAACCAACATATTTGGAGAGATTAAACAAACAACTCAACACTGACTTGTTTAGTGTTAGGCATTACTGTCAAGATCGGGCTGGGTGAAGAAGGTATGCTTTCATAAGAAACCGTTAAAACATACAAAGAATTTAAGTAATAGCCCCATTTGATACAAAGTAAAGATTAAGAAATGTTAGACCATTAGTTAACATTCCCTATATTTTGATAACCTTGAAATTCACAGAATGGTACAAAGGCCATGAGCTTTGGGTGAAAGATCACAGATAGACAGTTATGCTGGGTAGTTGTAATATTTTGCTTTTATTATTAGGAATTATCACCTGAAATATAGTATTCATTCATTTGAAGTTGTATTTTTTTTTTTTTTTTTTTTGAGAGAGAGGGTCTCACTCTGTCACCCAGACTGGAGTGCGGTGGCACGAACACTGCTCACTGCAGCCCTGACCTCCTGGGCTCAAGCCATCTTCCCTTCTCAGCCTCCAGAGTAGCTGAGATCACAGTCGCATGCCACCACACATGGCTAAATTTTTTTTTGGGGGCGGGGGGGTAGAGACGGGGATCTCACCATGTTGCCCAGGCAGGTGAAGTTGTATTTTATAATTACCTAAAAGTTATAGTTTATTTGGTTTGATGGGGTAGCTTATTTATTTTTAATCTTCAATGTAGTAGAATGACTTTTTTTGGTGTTTTTGTCAGCATTATAATCTTCAGTGTTCTTAATGAACACTTTCATTAAGTTTAATAAATGCCTTTAGCAACAATAATATATGCCAACAAGAATCATGACAAATTTCTACCCAACTCGTTGTTACATTTCTGATTCTGTTTCAATGAAAATGTTCTCTCTAAAAATGCACACTATGCAAAGCTGGCATAATTCCTTCCACAAGCGTGTTTCACACAGCAATGAACAGAAAGAGTTCCAAATCAACAAAAGGAAACCTAATTATAACACGTTCATCCAGAGGCTCTACCATTTTTTTAAAAATTGCATAATAACATGCAATCCATGTCACCTTAGAATATCGAGAAGCCTTGCAGGCCACAGGCATTGGCCTGATTTTCATTTGTAGACAGTCAGGCAGGCTCGGCGTGCACCCAAATAGAGCTCTTTTTCAAAACCTGACTGCCTTTTTTCATCCCTCAGTGATTACAATCTCTTTCCCAATTTTGTGTTATTTTTGGCCCCATATAATTTGGTGATCAAATAATGATACAATGATCAAATGATCACATAATGATACAAAAGACCATTATATCTTAGTCAACTTGGTCTTACTTTTGCAACCAAACTATAATTTTTTAGAGAGCAAGACATGTTTTATATTTATCAGCATTTTTCCATCTGTCTAACCTGGAATCAAGTCGTATAATCAAGAAATACTTGTTGGATTAAGGCCTGTAATTTGGTGCTCCATGCAAATGCTGTTCCAGATCATGGTTCTGGGCTTGAGGGAGGCTAGTGTAGAAATATTATCATATTCATCAGCAGTTTTAGTCATGGGAAGGACGTGTGTCCCACTCCAGGTCTCAGACTACTCCCAGTCAGCATTTGTGCAAGGCCAAGCAACAGCAGCTCAGCAAAACCAGAATGAAAAAGGACAATGGTGCGCCGAGCTTGGGTCCCTTGCTGTGGTGTGCCTTTGTTACTGCCATTCACTGTCATTTCTTTACGTCCCAAGGTATGAATGACTGAGTTCGTGATTGATTGTGCCACTAAGAGTGAGTCTGGGGCAATGCTACCATCCCTGACAACTCTCGCTGGTGAGTGGAGGCTGACTTGCTTGCCTTCCAGGGCAATACCATTGATTACTTCATTTGAAGTCAGGGACAGATTCCATGCCATCTTTCTAACTGGGTGATTCCCATCATATCTGACTGCCCACAGGGTGAGGGTAAGCACGGCGGCTCTGTTTTCGATCTGCATAGCCGTCGGAGTGCTGCACGGTCTATCGATGGTGTCGACTTCCATTCTCAAGAGAATCCATAAGGTGTAAGGGGAAAGGAAAGCACGTTTTGGGGAAGAAAAGCAACTTAGTACCTGACTCCCTCCCATACAAGGAGTGTAGATCTGGGGCACGCGTGGTGCCTCTGAAAACAGAGTGTGGGTTACAATTGCTGGCACCCCCAAGTTGGGCTTCCTTGACTGTTGGGACCAGTGTGAACTGAGAAGTGCACTTTGACAATCACTACAATGTAGCCTCCTGATCTGCTGGTAAAACGCACCGTTTCCAGTTCAGTTTGAGCAACTGGGTGAAGTCCTTCTCGGCTTTGGAGAGACTGTTTGAGAGCCATCCATTTACCCTGCCCTGTCTGTCCACACTGCCAGTCGAGCCGAGGCCCTCCCCTGCTGTTTCCAAAAATTTCTCGGTAAGTTAAGGGCAATGGCAGTCCAGCTGTGTTCAGAGCTGCCTGGTGACGATGTGAGAGCCAGCAGTCAGTTAAGGTGCTTGTAATAGTTTGGGTGAGCGGCACCAAGTTATTTTCCTTCACAAGGAAGACAGACACCAGGGATGACAGTAAAGGAAAAAGGTCATTCATAGCCCTCACCCCGCTTACCTCTTAGTGGAGGTAGAGGGGTGTGGGCCGAGGCTCCTGAGGCTGACGTGGTTCTCCGGGATGTGGGCCGAGGCTCCTGAGGCTGAGGTGGTTCTTCTCCGGGGTGTGGGCCGAGGCTCTTGAGGCTGAGGTGGTTCTTCTCTGGGGTGTGGGCCGAGGCTCCTGAGGCTGAGGTGGTTCTCTGGGGTGTGGGCCGAGGCTCCTGAGGCTGAGGTGGTTCTTCTCCCTCCACTGGAATAAAATTAGTGTGCCCTATGTCAGTGGCTGGAGCTTTACTTTGCTCCCCATGCCCCTGCTCACTCCCGACTTTCCATCTGGACAGTCAGGTGCAAGAGGCACAGAGGATTTTAATAAAGTCTACAGAGGCCTGTCACGGCCACCATTTTGGCCTGTGTGAACCACTGTAGGGGGGTCAGGGGGCGGAGCTCTCAGCCAGTGGTCCCTGTCCCACCTATCTCAGTCCATGGCAATGCGGCATGAGCATCCAGGTGGTCGCATCAGAATTAGACTAGAACGCGCTGGGCTCACGGGGGTGCACTAACCACGTGGGCCTGGGGGAGTTGTTAGGGTAAAGAGAGAAGCCTCATGTCCAGGAATGATCAGGAAAGGTTATCAAATTTTCAAAATAGATCTAGATGATTCCTTGCCCCTTCATTCTGGTCATTACTCAAGAAGCAGCCAAGAGAAGATGGTCCCTTTCTGGAACAGCTACATTCAGTGAACAACGTGTCTTAGTCAAGCGTGTGACCAGGAGGAGACCAAAGTCAGATGTCTTTGAGTCAGTTTTTGAAGAGACTGATCCAGTGCTCAACAATGCCTGGTGCCTGTGGATGGCAATGGCATGGAAGGTCATCTGTCCACTCCTGAGTGGTTTCCTTGACAAAAGGTGTTCCATTGTCAGACTGCAAACAGAAAGTAAGAACCAAGCGGACTGGTGGTGTGGCTGAAGTTGGCTGACCAGACTGGGACAGTAACAACATAGCCTGGAACAGTGTCAGCCCTGAGTGGAGGTCAGGGGTCCAACGTAGTCAGTCTTCCAGGAGCAGGGGGGGCCTTGCCCAGGGAAGTGTGGCCTCCTGAGACACCAACTGAAACAGAAGATAACCGGACTATAAAACACCTGCATGCAGTGAGTGGCAGCTCTGTGTCAGAAACTGGGTTTCCTTTGTGCTCATGTTGTGATGGGGGATGTGCTGCAATGCCCAGTATGAAGGTAAACTCAGGCAGCCTGGTGGTTATGTGGCCAGTGCCATCTGGATCAGCAGCTCATTCCAGTTGGTCTCATCGAAACAGGTCCACACTGTGGGCTTGTACCTGAGTGACCCACATGGTTCCATGCATGATTTGTTTCCATGGTCTACAGCCCCCCAAAGAGGTGCCTTTTATCTGCTTGTCTGGTTTTTTCAGGTGGCAAACCAAATAGCTAGGCCATTGGCAACAGCCTAAGAGTTGGGAAGAATGTAACAGGGATTACCAAGGGAAGTAGCAGTTATAGCTGAGAATGGCCTTGAGTTCTGCCCACTGGGTGGAGAATCAGGTCCATCTTTGGCCCTGTCTCATTGGAGCTGAGATGGAATGGCTGCAGCAAGCCAGAGAGCACTCCCAGGTCTCAGCTCAGCCAAATCATCACTGAACCAGGCCCAGGCATTTAGGGAACTTCTATGAATTGTGGGTCCCACTGAGCACCAGCTTGCTTCAGGTGCATGAGGGAGGGATAAATTTCCTGCTCTTTAGAGCCAACCTTCCCTAAGGGTTTTCCTTCTACTTAGTGCCTCAACTTCCCCTTCTCAAGATCACTTGGATAAGGGAAAACTGCTGTCTCTCTGCACTGCCTGACTGCAATAGCATTGCAGTTGAAATGAATAATGGATAGCTGCTAACTTTCCATGTAAAGTGCAGTGCTGCTGGGGTCAGACTGGGTGTGTTCCTGGATATACCGTGTCCATTTCACAAGCAAGGCTTGCCGGGCTCTTCCTGTCCTTTAGTCGTTAAACCTAAGCTGGCTCACCCCAAATACAAGTATCGGACCACGTATGAGCATCACAAGGCTTTCCTGGAGCAGGCACTCAGCTTAGCAAGACCCCATCATAAGCTGATGGCTGCTTTGCAAAAGGATGTAGCTGATGGCCCGGTCAGGGAGCACAAGACCTCGAGGGGTGCAGCTGGGTGGAAGCTGCCTCCCTTTCTGGGCTCCTATCATTAAAACCATCAGCCACAGAGACTTGAAGCTCAAGGGGGTCGTGAAGGTTACCAGGCCTCCAGGGTAGAGCATACCTCATTGCCTGCTGGACGGCTTTCAACAGTTTCCACCCTGGGGTCCTACCCCAGCATGCTGATTCACAGGGTATGTGATATAAAGACTGAGGAGAATGCCCACGTGGGGCACATGCTGTTCCTATGACCCAAAGAATCAGGTACAGTGCGGGGTCTCCTTTCTGGCAGGAGGTGGTACAAAGAGGCAGAAGTATTTCCTTCTCTAAGTGACCCTGAGGAGGGGAAGCTAAGGCGCTGAGTGTGAGCGAAACCATTAGGAGGGGCTGGCTCTAGAGCAGTGAGGGCCTGGAGGCCAAGTTTGGGCTGGAAAACAGTTTTGATTGTGGTGAAGGTACATAAGAGTAGGTAAATGCTGATGGGAAAACACTAGAACAAACTTTCTTTTTTTAATGGAGCATTTGAAGATCTGGAGAAAAAAACAGAAAATTTCTTAATGCAGCTGGTCAGTATTTACTTAGGATTAGAATCCAGAGAGGATGGTTTCATCATATCATATCATAAGGTTTCTTCCTTAGATTAAAAAAAAGTATACATCCAAGAGGCATAAACACATTTTATCACTTAAATCTTTTTTGCTTTAACTTGTTTTTGAGGACCAGTAGAAAGGTAGAAAGAACCCATGGGAAGGGTTCATCACTTGAGTCTCAAAACTAGGCTGCATTTTATGTTCAATAACAAATGGCAATTGATGGCAATAGTCTCTCAATGTAATACATTTTAATCTCCCAGTTTAACTGGCCTGAGTTCTTAATAACTAGTCATTTCTTTCTAAATTACCTGCCAATTTTCCAGATGTGCTCAGACCTTTCTAATCGATTTGACATAGTTTATTTCAGGTTATGAGTTACACATCACCATTACAATGTCTGTTGACTCATTCAGCTCTTTTGCAGCATGCAGTAACTTACAGGAGATTGTGCTAAAATGTGTAGTAACTAAGCTCTGCTGGTGCTTTATGCTGTACCTCAAAATAAGGTAGCTTCCAATATCTTCATTTAATGAGTATGAAGTATGTAAGTGCATATCGAAGAGTCTTGGAAGTAACTGAAATGGAAAATAACCGGACTATAAAACTCAGTTAATATATTTGGTAGATGCTTATATAAGTAGAAGCCACATATACAGATTTCTCCAAAATGCTAAAGTCAGCTAAAGACTGTTACTCATATTCAAAACACAAGTATACAAGAGAACACCATGCCATGCTGTATAATCACAGAAGACAGAATGTATTGGTTTACTCTGACTTTAAAAAGTCACTGGAGAGCATTGTTCTGACAAGGCTGATTTAGACAGTAAACAAATCTACTTCCATTATTGTAGAACGGATATCCCTGAGATCTAGGTTAACAAGCTATAAAGTACATTTTTATTGCTCTAAGCAGCAACTCAGAATAGTTTGAAGTAAAACACTTCTATTTTTAAACTACCATAACATTTAAAGCTGGGTTTTCAATTTGTTAACCTATCTCAAAAACTGAATATCATAGCCTGATTAGTGGCAAGAGGCATTCAAAGAAAGATTTTTTTTTAATGGATCAGTGATGTAGAAAATGTGGTATCATCTGAACAGACTTAATATAGAAAGTATATTATAGAATAACATACAGTTCTTCATGACTTTGACCACCTTGATGAATAACAGCCCAAAATATGCATCAAAAGCCTGAGTTATAATGGCTTACTGGGTAAGATGAATACTTGATCCAACCCAGTTTTCTCCCTCTCATAGTGTCAGGATTGTGTTGCTAAAATAATGCTCATTTTTTGACAATTTTACACTTCTCTGTCACAGAGGGATTGAGCCTAATGCCAGAAATTAGCTTAATCACAGAGTTCCAAATCTGATCCCATGGCCGCATGACTGATACCCTGAAATATAAACCTATGCTCTCTTTCCTTGTGAATTCCTGTCAATTCTGACCTTCCTTCCTATTTGGGCAGCAGCTGGGTCTGGTTGCCTCAGGGAAGGGTTTTTCAGGAGAAAATTAAGAGAAAAGAGTCCTGCCTTTTAAATTCCTGGCTATTGGGTTTTCCAAAGAGGAAGGTTGCCTAATGGGAGCCAGGGCCTGTATGAAAATGACTGCTATGGAAATGCTTCTGACCCCTGCAGACCCAGGCAGGGGAGGACCAAGTGTGTCTTCAGAAAGGGACTCTGCTCTGATCGCCTTTTCTCTCCACCTTTCCTGTAAGCTGAGATCAAGGAGTGGAAGTGACATCAGCCTAAGAGCTGAAGGATCTGTAACCTCTGTCCTGGGAAAACCCAGGGAGAGAGAGTCCAAATGTCCTGCCAGCCAGCAGGGCTTGGCAGCAGTTGGAGATGAAATGACTGTGCCTTATCTCCAAGCAGACAAGTCCAAGGTCTCTGAGGATTGCCAAGCCCCAGCAGCAGCCCAGCGATCCTACGGATGCAAGAGGAGGGCAGAGACTAGAGTTTCCTGGAGCTCCAGCAGGAGGCCTCATGTCTTAGGTTGGCACCACGTGCTGAAAGAGCCGCTGGACCCAAATCGACTTTTGTCTGTATGTGAGGGTTGTGGCCAAGACTCCAGGATGGGAAGTGCTCAACTCGGTGATGGCCAGCACGGACATCCCACAGATGAGGATGACACCCCGCAGCCCACCCTCACTGCTACAGAAACCCCCTAGATGAGGATGAGACCACCCCAGCCCACCCTCACCAGTACGGACACCCCAGATGAGGACGAGACCCCGCAGCCCATGCTCACCAGCATATGAGGACACGACGTTCATCTCCTCCTGAGGCTGCTGCAACAAGGCACCATCTTTGGAAGCGGAGAGTAGCCCTCACCACACACTGAACCTGCTGGGAACTTGATCTTGGACTTACCACCCCCAGAACCGGGAGAAATAAATGTTCATTGTTTATAAATTACCCAGTATTTTGTTATAGCAGCACAAGCAGACAAAGACAGTCACCAAGACTGAGGACTGAGCCTCACCCACCCTCAGAGACTGGATGCTGAGTCATGAAGACCAAAGACCGGTCTCTTGCCCAGCCTTTGGGACTGGGCACTCTGCAAACCAGTCTGATGGCTCAACCTAACTCAAGGGAATGTATTTAAGGACGGAGGCAGGGCGAGGTCAAAACTTTCTGGGATTATCTCAAGATTCAAGTTCAATTTAGACAAGAAATGAATAGTTATACTTCTTAAGACTTCATATTGCATCCTGAGATAATTTCACCCTGATATGTTAGTTTTTTCACTCTGAATTTTGGTGGGAAGTTTTACAAGAACGTGTCCACATAAGTATTACTATGGGAATACCTTAACAGCTACAGAAATCACATGCAATACGATACCAAAACATCTGTGGTCACATGAACCAAGGGAGCCCATCTGTGCAGAGCTGTACCCACTATTAATTTTTTCACTAAAATTCCAGAGAATACATTGGAAGTCACCCTTCCATTATCCACACTAGCTGTCTTTCTCTTAATTTGCAAAGATGGAACTATCTGGGAGGAACTTGCTTCAGCCTGGTCATTGCTAAAGAACACACCCACAAGATGGAAAGCAACCATTCAAACATAACTGGGGGCCATGCGCAGTGGCTCACACCTATAATTGCAGCACTTTGGGAGGCCAAGGTGGACAGATCACCTGAGGTAGGGAGTTCAAGACCAGCCTGGCCTTATGATGGTGAGCACATGGTGGTGAGGCCTCATGGTCAAGACAGACATGGTGAAACCCCGTCTCTACTGAATATACAAAAAATTAGCCAGGTGTGGTAGCATGTGCCTGTAATCCCAGCTACTCGGGAGGCTGAGGCAGGAGAATCGCTTGAACCTGAGAGGCAGAGGTTGCAGTGAGCTGAGATCACACCACTGTACTCCAGCCTGGGCAACAGGGTGAGACTCTGTCTCAAAAATAATACTAATAATAATAATAACTGGAGTTGCATAATTATTGTATGGATAACGTCTCTTTTCTCTTAGAAATTATTTAAATTTAAAAAATTAATGATATCTAGAATTTTGGGTTCTTGTTCCTGCATGTTTTCCTCCAGGAAAAAGCAAATGAATGTGTCTAATACTTAGAAGAGATACTGACACACTCTCCTCTAGATTTGTGTAACAAAAATAAGACCTCAAAATCAATTTCATCTCTGTGACATAAAAATAAATGGTCAAAACTTTAGAAAACAGCATAACTTGAAAACTGTAAAAAAAATTCCTTCACTCCAATGAGCCAAATGGCTACAGGAAATGTTTTCTGATTCTATTCCTCATGTTGCTGCTGCCACATCAATGAGAGTCCCACTGGAGGGGGTTAATGAACAGACAGATCTCTGAACTTTCCAGGAGACGCGTGCCATGTGATTGTATGAAGTCATGTAAGATTTCATCAAGTCCACAGGATACATAAGAATGAAACAGGTTTTTGAAAAGGAAAAACCCGGAATAAATGAGGACAGAAGAGTGGCCCAGGAGGAAGGAGATGGATGATGAGAAGGCCAAGGAGGAGAAGGACCTGGCTTTCCCAGTCTGAGAATGACTGGCCAGAGACACTGAAGGAGAGCCACAACAGAGACTTGTCCAGGAAGAGAAGTTAAAAAAGAGCTTGCAAGCCCGGGGGCAATGGCTCATGCCTGTAATCACAGCATTTTGGGAGGCCAAGGCGGGTAGATCATGAGGTCAGGAGTTCAAGATCAGCCTGCACAAAATGGCGAAACCCCATCTTTACTAAAAATACAAAAATTAGTTGGGCATGATAATCCCAGCTACTCAGGAGGCAAATAAATGTAATGTGTGATCTGGACTAGATTCTGCATCAGAAAGAACTTACAACTAATGAAAAATTGGAAAAATTTGAATTTAGAATGACCACCAAATAACAATATTGTAACAATATTAAATTTTCAGAATTTGATAAAGTAACTTTATGTAAAAGAATGTCCTTGGTTTTAGGAAATGCACTCTAAGACAGGGATGAAGGATCATAATGTCTGCAAGTTGCTCTCAAATGATTCAGCAAACAGTAATAATTATTTTATATATATACACACACACACACACACATGCACGTGTGCACGCACACACACACACATGCAAGTCAACTCTCATTATTTGTGGTAAAGTCACCAGGAACACTGAATTAGCCAATACTGCTCCTCAAGGAAATACAGGGTTGGTTCCCAAAAACCTCTGATCACATTTTCATCAACGATCAATACATAATTCAGTTTTATACATGTTTCTGTTCAAAGACACCTTATTTAGGCCAGGCACGGTGGCTCACACCTGTAATCCCAGCACTTTGGGAGGCCGAGGAAGGCAGATGGCTTGAGGTCAGGAGTTCGAGATCAACATGGCCAACATGGTAAAACCTTATCTCTACCAAAAAATACAAAAACTATCCAGGTGTTGTGGCACGCTCCTATAATCCCAGCTACTTGGGAGGCTGAGGCAGGAGAATCGCTTGAACCCAGGTGGCAGAGTTTGCAGTGAGCTAAGGTCGTGCCACTGCACTCCAGCCTGGGCAACAGAGCAAGACTCCATCTCAAAAAATAATTAAAAAAAAAAGAGAAAGAAAGCTCCCAGAAAAAAAAAAAAAGGTTACTCAAAAGGCCAAACTCTGCAGAGCATTGAAAGGAAACCATGTTTTCTTCATGGTTTATAATCCCTGCAGTGTTTTGTGCAAACTTGTACATAGAGGAACCTCTACAAGGGTAAGGAGACCAAAATTTCATGCAGAAAATTATGGTATTATGACGATGGTGGCTTTTTTAATGGGCAAGTGATGTGGGTAACATTGAGCCCACAACTTCACCTCTAAAGTGAAGCAGGGTGCTGAAAAAATGTATATTGAGAGACCCAGAGCAGAGAACTTCTGTCTGTTTAAGTGTAAGTGGCATGGCACAATTTCAGTACGTTACACGGGCTGGGTTCATATTATGCTAATAGATGAGCTTGGGCCCCTGAAATCTTTGTTTGACCTTGCTGGATTTTTAGCGCTGAGACTTTTAGGTTTAGAGGTTTTTAGGTTTATCATTGGGGAGCTGGGAAAATACACATAAATGCCAACCACCATACACAGGCATACATGTATCACTCCACAGAAGAGACGGTGACATGTTAACACTGTTATTTTATATTTCAGGTTCACCATAAACACCATTGTGTTCAAATTTAGTACAAAGCATTTACTCCACATACTGCTTGTAACTAAAATTCATGAAGTAGTCATAAGTTGCTTAATTTTTTTAAAAAAATTTGTTAGGAAATAATTTCATATTTACAAAAATAGTTGAGATAATATCCATATCCCATTCACCCTTTACCCAGATTTACCTACTGTTAACATTTTACCCAATTTGCTTTGTAATTTACTGTCTATATCTATCATTTACACTTGTGTGCATGTATATATGTATTTTTATGCAGACAGTGGACCCTTGAACAACACAAATTTGAACTGCCCTGGTCCACTTATACAAGGATTTTTTTCAATAAACATACTGGAAAATTTCTTGGTGATTTGTTACAGTTTGAAAAAACTTATAGATGAACCTTCTAGCCTAGAAATATTGGGGAAAAAAATAACAAAAAGTGCAGGGTGCAATGGCTCACTCCTGTCATCCCAGCACTTTGGGAGGCCAAGGCAGGCAGATCACTTGAGCCCAGGATTTCAAGGACAGTCTGGGCAACGTGGTGAAACACCATCTCTACAAAAATTAGCCAGGTGTGGTGGCAGGCCCGTAGTCTCAGCTACTTGGGGGACTTAGGCGGGAGGTTGAGGTGGGAGGATCGCTTGAGCCCAGGAGGTCAAGGCTTCGGTAAGCTACGATTGCACATTACACTCCAGCTTGGGTGACAGAGTGAGACCCTGTCTCAAAATAACGAAACAAAACAAAAGTTAAATATGTTATGAATGCATATATGTAGAGAGCAGTCTATGTGTCAATCACCTGCCTATGTTATTGGTGAAACTTTCAGGCAACAGTAGGGTATTAGTAGTTAAATTTTGGGGGACTCAAAAGTTCTATGTGGAATGTGGATTTCTGACTGTGTGCCCCTAACCCCTGCATTGTTCAAGAGTCAACTGTATGTGTGTATGCAGATATATACATACATACACACACACACACACACACACACACACACAGTTTTTGAAAAATCGTTTGATGCCTTCTGAACCACTTGATGTTTGCTCCTGCTGAATATAAATCATATGTACTGGACTTGCCCTGAGACTGGAAAATATTTTAAAAACCGATAAAATTAAAGATGTGATTAAAAAGAGGGTAATAAATATAAAACCACTGTCTAAACTTGTTAACATTGTGAACACTATGTAAATAAGCAGACTGAATGATCCATGCCATGAGAGGAATGAAAGGGGAACTTACATTTATTGGACATTTGTAATGTACCAGATATTTGGTACGTCATCAGCAAATATGTCTTTGTAATTATGTGAAATCACACTTTAAAAATCTAATAAATTAATTAGAGGCCAGCTAAATAGGCAGCGGGCCCCAACAAGCTGTGTCATGAGAGCTGAAAGGAAAACTCTTTCCTGGATATTTCATGTGCCAGACAGTTTACGTAACATCAGTAAATATGCCTTTATAATTATGTGAAATCACATTTTTAAAAAAATCTAACAAATTGGTAGTCAGCTAAAAAAAAAAACCTGGTAGTGACAGAATGAAACATAGACTTTAATTCTGATTTTTAATCATTTAAAAATTAGTTTCATTTAGTAAATAATAACTGAATACATATTGTCAGACACTGCTCCAAGGCTGATGATGCAACAGGGAGTGGAACTCGAGGTGCCCCTGCCAGTGAGGGTCAGAGCGCAGAGAGCACAGCTCAAGCCTGGCTGAGGGTTTCCATTGTTTGCTAAGCATTCACACAAATGCTAATGCCCCATCTTCAAAATGATCTAGTCAGGGTTTCTGAAGGTTTGGGAAATAACACTTCAGGGTAAGCCTGCTAAAGTGGGGAAGACGCGAGTGAGCACAATGGAAATAATTCACGAAGGTCAGAAAAGGCTTCCTGGACAGTCGGGTTAGTTTGAAATCCAAAGACATGTTGGTGGGATGGAGTTGGGGGATGCATAGAAATGACCTGGACAAGGCCCTGGATGCAGAGAATGGTTTTCTCCAGGTGTGATGTTCAGAGTCGAGTCTCATCAGAACCCAGCTTGCCTACTCCTCAGGGTCCATACCCAGGAGGTGAGCTTTGTTCACTCAAGGTGACAAATGTAAAGAGCCCCTGAGGTCTACACACTCTTCCTCTTATAATTTTCCCACATGTCCAAGGCATTTTGTAATTCTTACATCCAAGAATTTACCACAGACTTGCCACTGACTCCATCCATCTATAGTCTTGGTAGAGAGAGCCCCTGGGTCTCTGTTCTTGGTGGAGAGCACCCTTGGGTCACTGATCTTGGTGGACGGTGCCCCAGGTCTCTGGTATTGGTGGACAGTGCCTCCGGGTCTCTGGTCATGGTGGAGAGGGCCCCCGGGTCTCTGGTCTTGGTGGAGAGCACCCCAGGGTCTCCAACCTTGGTGGAGAGAGCCCCCTGGATCTGTATTCTTGGTGGAAAGCACCCCACTGTCTCTGGTCTTGGTGGAGAGTGCGCCCCCCCACCCCCAGTCTCTGGTCTTGGTGGAGAGCGCCCCCGGGTCTCTGGTCTTGGTAGAGATCACCCCTTGGTCTCTGTTCTTGGTGGAGAGTGCGCCCCCCCACCCCGAGTCTCTGGTCTTGGTGGAGAGCGCCCCCGGGTCTCTGGTCTTGGTAGAGATCACCCCTTGGTCTCTGTTCTTGGTGGAGAGTGCCCCAGGGTCTCTGTCCTTAGTGGAAGAGTGCCCCCCCCCACCCATCTCTGGTCTTGGTGGAGAGGACCCTGTGGTCTCCGATCTTGGTGGAGAGAGGCCTCAGATCTCTGTTCTTGGTGGAGAGCGCCCCCTGGTCTCTGGTCTTGGTGGAGAGCGCACCCTGCCCCAGTCTCTGGTCTTGGTGGAAAGCACCCCAGGGTCTCTAACCTTGGTGGGGAGAGCCTCCCGGATCTCTGTTCTTTGTGGAGAGCACCCCACTGTCTCTGGTCTTGGTGGAGAGTGCACCCCCCCACCCCCAGTCTCTGGTATTGTTGGAGAGTGTCCCTGGGTCTCTGGTCTTGGTGAAGAATTCCCCCAGGTCTCTGGTCTTGGTGGAGAGCACCCCTGGGTCTCTGGTCTTGGTGGAGAGTGCCCCCGGGTCTCCAGTTTGGTGAAGAGTGCTCCCTGTGTTTCTTCAGCCATGTGAACATCCACAAGTGCACCTCTTTGCAAATCTCTTGAACATGATGATTGGAAACACACTTTAATACCTTATTCACATGTAGTTGCTGGAGCATTGACACTCATCTCTCTGCCCTTCTAATTTAAATTTCCCACCGGATTGGGGACATTAATACAGTTTTAAAAAAATAAACATCTACCTTTTGCGTGGGTGCATGTAGGACTTAGACATGAAAGCTAGGCCTCATTTACAGCCCCAAAGGAAAACAGGTTCATTAAGGAGCAGTCATCATTGAAAGTTTGCTCATTTTGAAGACAACCATCAGGCAGCCCCTGGAGTAAGGCTCTCAGCCAAAACTGCCAGGTCGTTTAAAGTTTATAAACACTTCCAATAGGCAAAATCCAAAGAATGAAGTATATGCACTGAGGCTGGCTGAGCCTGTGGTCCATACACAGGCTCATTCAGTCCAGTTTTATTCCCTGATACCATTGCCAGCATCACTGTTAGCAACTACCAAGACCAGGACAATGACATGCACATCTACAGAAGATCGTGACGATCTGTGTCTTTCTGTAGATGTAAATGTACAGACAGAGCGTGGCTCTGTGCACACATCCAGCACATCTAATGCAGTGCAGCTGCCACGCCCTGAACGATGCACCCCTGGCGCATGCTTTGCTACACAAGGTGGATCTGGCTGGTGTGCAATGTAGCCTTGCCCACGTGCAGCCACAGTCAGATGAAAGCGATGTGTAGTTTTAGGGTATCTCGGAAGATGATTTCAGGTAGGTGCAATTTATTTTTTACTGCTTATTTTTGTAATACGTATGAGGCACAACAGTTTATAGAAATTTAAGATATGTTTTATTCTAAAAGGAATATAAATTTTCATTTTATCTTTTCTAAAGCATTCTTGTTTAATAGTCATGGCTGATCTTACTATATATAACTTAGTGTTGCCTGAAAGATATGAAGCGTTATATTTTTCTATTTTTGTTCACAAATACACAGAACCTTGACTGCATGCCACCATCTACCTCAGATATTCAAAACACTACAAGGAACTCATTCTTCTGCAGTATATTTTGTGATAGGCCCTGTTTTGTTGTTGTTGTTCCTTTGCTCTTTCTATAATAAGCAGAAATACATGCTAGAGTTGCAATACATCTAACAAAGGTCCTAAGTGAATCTATCAAAAACCAATGCCACGTAAGTGATCATTCTCTCATGTAGATTCCAGTGAGGGGCCTGGCAACATCATCCACAAATTCCCAAGTAAGCAACAGTCTTTTATGTGACAGATGTTAAATAAATGTTTGCCATACTGTATTGAAATCCGACATTTCTTACCGTTGCTACATTTTATACAGGGACAACAAACCGAGCTGCAACTAAAGGGCAGAAGA
This sequence comes from Homo sapiens, assembly GCF_000001405.40. NCBI lineage: Eukaryota > Metazoa > Chordata > Mammalia > Primates > Hominidae > Homo > Homo sapiens. The sequence goes on along the minus strand of NC_000006.12, from coordinate 162,880,152 downwards.
TCAGACCTTTCCTCTTTCCAGTACAGGCCTGCTGGCTGAAATTCATTTCCACAGAAGGGGGTGTTGGAGGACCCCCATTTACATGTCTGTTTTCTCCCCTGTGCTCAGCCTCTCTCTGGTTCCAAGGTGTGGTTTGACCTCGACACAGAAGTAAAAGGAGACTGCCCGGTACTTACCACATGCCAGGTGCTCTGCTAAGTACCTAAAAAATATATCCCCTCACACATTCTCACAGATGCTTTTTGAGAGAGGTGTTTTGTAGATATATCAGGAAATCCTTATAGATATACCAGCTACTTCTCCTTGAAGAAGGAGTAACTCCCTCACGTTCCCTGCCCTCTTGAATTCACTGGACAGCCCTGGAAGGCTGCTTGGGCACCCACAGTCAGCCTCATCTCCTGGAAGACTGAAACCTGCTCTCTGTCTTACTCACTGTCCTATCTGCACGGCCAGCTCGGGGCCTGGCCCACAGCAGGTGTTCAATAAATACTTGTTGAAGGAATGAATTAATGAATGAAGCCTCCTATTTACCCTAACCACTGAGTAAAACCTTTGCTAGATTAACTTCTTATGTCCTACATTGGATTGATTTAAAAATCTGTATATGGTACATCTATATCAGTGTAGATGAACAGAATAGATCAGTTTTAGCACCAACTGTCCCCTGCCCCCCTCAATGATTCCTAAACATAAGAGTCTGGGTGTCTAGACAGAGTCATGAATACCAGGCCAACTGGGCCAAAAATCACATGGTGGCAATGTTACTTTTTGCCCAATAGATAATTAACTTTTAAAACTGAATTTCTTGAGCAAGAAGGGGAGTTACATGGATAGTTTTACTGTGTTACCTTTTGTGCTATTTTTTCCCTTCATTAAAGGACGATTTCTATAGAACAGAGAACTATAGACTGTTAATGAAGGTTAAAGTGGGCTATGTCTCTTCGTGCACAATTGGCAATAAAGTATGGATTTTATAATATATTTTACATGAAGCTTGATATTGTTCTTGTGATTTGATAGAGAATTACATGGGGGGTTAATTTTTGAGGACCATCATATAAACTGAGAAGCTTTTTAAAGGCAAGGAAGGCATTTAGACTGTATTGAAACACCATGAGATTCCTCCTTTGTATGCAATTACAATACATATTACAGAAAAGGTAATATTTAGTGAATAAAAATTTAAGTAGTACTGAAATTGTATTATTACATACAAAGAGCCATTCTATAATAGCAATAATATTTCTAGAAGATAAACTAAGAAAAGCAAGACATCTTTAAACTTGTCACCATAGTTATTCACTCCATTCAGATTTAGAATAACATGGGGCTTATGCATATACATTCATCTTAACATACTACAAATCACGGTAAACTACCGCTAGAAACAACATATTGGGGAAATCAGAGGATTTTTAAATTTGTCCCTTATGTGTCAGCTCTATTTCCAAACTCAAAGGCCTAGAACAATCTCAAATTTCCCTAGTACTATTTTTTAAAAGCTTAATGTATAACATGGGTAACCATCTGTTGTTTTGGTCTCCTTTTGTTGGGGGAATGAGCATCAGGTGGCTCTAGTTGGCCATCTTGCTGATGTCACTCTTTGAATCCAAGTAACAATCTCATTATACACAGAGATAGGCAGGCACAGATGAGAAAAAGATTCAGTCTATTCAATATTTGTAACAGCATCAAACACTCTAAAAAAGTAAAATAGATTTTATTTGTTAAAATGTTTCTCATTATTACTTTATTCAAAAAAGAATTCATTATCAAGACAGCTACATTGGTGTGTTTTTTTACTTAGTGAAGAAACATTAAAAATTAAGTTTAAAATAATTTTCTTATTCACATACATGACTTTTAAAAACTGTTGTTATAATTTAATATCTCATTTCTGTGTCATAATGTCAATTTTTAATTATGTTGTAAAAATGTGAATTGTGATATTGCATCTTACACTTTACACTTGCATCTCACACTTACACTTGCATCTTACAAACATTTAAAGTTATTATTCCAATTCCCCTAATATAAAAAAGTCTCAGAATTTTAATCTACTAATATTATTATGCTTTTTGCTCATACTATTTATAATTCACAGGTATATTCTAAATTTAGTATTTACCCAGTTAAGTGAAACTATCTATAACCTTAGGTAAAGCTCCAAAAATAATGTTGTAAGAAATAATTCATAGCACTCAACTTAGTTACCATGGTGACCGTTGCTATCTAATAGTTTGGGGATAGGAACTTGTTCATTGGTAACTATAATTCTATAAAGGGAAAGACCATGAATCTACTTTTTTAATGGAAAGCAAAATCCCTTCTGATATGTTATAGGCATATTGACTCTTCTGGGCAGGACAAGAAGAGGGATGCCATTTCTGAACCAAGGAACGTTGCACTATGTCTTCCCTAAAACATTTCTATCAGATATAAAACATGTCTTATATATTTGGTCCCAGTAAGTCCACATCTGACTGAAGCCTCCTGAATTTTTTTTCCTCTTCTTAAACATTTTTTTATTTTGGAAAATATTTTCCTTTTTTTTTTCTTTTTTTTATTATTATATTTTAAGTTCTGGGATACATGTGCAGAACGTGCAGGTTTGTTACATAGGTATACATGTGTCATGGTGGTTTGCTGCACCCATCAACCCATCATCTACATTAGGTATTTCTCCCAATGCTATCCCTCCCCTAGCCCCCAACCTCCCAACAGGCCCTGGTGTGTGATGTTCTTCTCCCTGTATCCATTTGTTCTCATTGTTCAACTCCCACTTCTGAGTGAGAACATGTGGTGCTTGGTTTTCTGTTCCTGTGTTAGTTTGCTGAGAATGATGGTTTCTGGCTTCATCCATGTCCCTGCAAAGGACATGAACTCATTCTTTTTTATGGCTGCATAGTATTCCACAGTGTATATGTGCCACATTTTCTTTATCTAGTCTATCGCTGATGGGCAGTTGGGTTGGTTCCAAGTCTTTGCTATTGTAAATAGTGCTGCAATAAACTTACGTGTGCATGTGTCTTTATAGTAGAATGATTTATAATTCTTGTGTATATATCCAGTAATGGGATTGCTGGGTCAAATGGTATTTCTGGTTCTAGATCCTTGAGGAATCGCCACACTGTCTTTCACCACAGTTGAACTAATTTACACTCCCACCAACAGTGTAAAAGTGTTCCTATTTCTCCACATCCTCTCCAGCCTCTGTTGTTTCCTGACTTTATTCTAACTGGCGTGGACCCCTTCCTTACACCTTATACAAAAATTAACTCAAGATGGATTAAAGACTTAAATGTAAGACTTAAAACCATAAAATCCCTAGAGGAAAACCTAGGCAATACCATTCAGGACAAAGGTGTGGGCAAAGACTTCATGACTAAAACACCAAAAGCAATGGCAACAAAAGCCAAAGTTGACAAATGGGATTTAATTAAACTAAAGAGCTTCTGCACAGCAAAAGAAACTATCATCAGAGTGAACAGGCAACCTACAGAATGGGAGAAAATTTTTGCAATCTATCCATCTGACAAAGGACTAATATCCAGAATCTACAAGGTACTTAAACAAATTTACAAGAAGAAACAAACAACCCCAACAAAAAGTGGGCAAAAGATATGAACAGACACTTCTCAAAAGAAGGCATTTATGCGGCCATCAAACATGAAGAAAAGCTCATCATCACTGGTAATTAGAGAAATGCAAATCAAAGCCTCCTGAATATTAAAGTGATATCATGTAAACAATAAAGAGAGAAAAGATCTCCCAGGGATCCTGCTGGCAGTTGCTGATGCCATATTCTCTCCTGTATTATTAGAGGACAGCAGGAAGAGAGTGATGGTTTCCAGTGGAATCTTGTGGCCTTGGCCTCCCTTCCCACTCTTGACCTCCTCCTTGTCAGAAGAAAGCTTCACAGTAGTGTAAAGTCTCCCTCAAATCCACCTACAATGAGGTTCCACTTGTCATTGCTTTCTTTGGAGAGGAACCCCCTATGATGGTGACCATGAATATTGAAACGCTACCCTCCAGATGGCTGCACCCACATGAGAACAGTGATACCCGGGAAGCATGCATGGTTTTAGCATGGAGGAGGGGGTGGTGAAGGAACAGAGCTGGGAGGCCTTTTGTAATCTTCGGCTCTATCTAGGGAAGGAAATGTATAAACATTTTCCTTCTCATCTCTGTTCACTTCAGACAAGCATGATGTAGAACAACTGGAGATAGACACATGAGTTCAAGCTCCAGGGAAATAGAAAGAAAAATTATTTCCAAGACTGAATGGTCAGTAAGCATTTAGAAGATCATACTGGAGGAAGAAGACCTCCCTGGAAATACAACTAATGAAGACTATTTAAACATAAAACTTGGAGCATTAGTGGAATGCCAGGTTGATAACTCCATGCATTTAATGTTGTAATGTGACCCCAAGTCAAGGACACAATTATTGCAGCAGAATTTTTGGGGGAAAACCAGCCTTGGACATAGACTGTATGTTACTTAGAGGAAAAGGACAAGTGGTTAATGTACAACCTATGTGAAACAAAAACTTACAGAATAATAAAGATGATATTTCTTTCAGCCACTTTTGGCTAAGAGTTTTTAAAATGTTTAACGAGAAAAGATGGAGGATGTCTAAACACCATACTACACAGATGGTGCAGGTGAAGGAAGCATGTGTGTGTGAATGTCTGTGTATGAATGCCTGTGTGTGAATGTGTGTGCATGACTGTGTGGGAATGTCTGTGTGTGAATTTCTGTGTGTGAATGTCTGTGTATGAATGTGTGTGAATGTGTGTGCATGACTGTGTGTGCATGTCTGTGTGTGAATGTCTGTGCATGTCTGTGTGTGCATGTGTGTGTGTGAATGTGTGTGGATGACTGTGTGTGCATGTCTGTGTGTGAATGTCTGTGCATGTCTGTGTGTGCATGTGTGTGTGTGAATGTGCGTGGATGTGTGTGTGAATGTGTATGAATGTCTGTGTGTGCATCTGTGTGTGAATGTCTGCGTGTGAATGTGCATGACTATGTATGTGTGAGTGTGCAAATGTGTGTGAGCACATGAATGAATGTGTGAGGGTGTGAATGCATGTGTGAGTGTGAAAGCATGTGTGAATATACATATGTGTGAATACATACATGTGTATGAATGTATGTGGGCGTATGAATGTGTGTAAATGTGTGTGACCGGAGGCATGTGACTGTGTGAGTGTATGTGTGTGTGTATATGAATGTGTAACTGTGTGAATGTTTATGTAAGTGTGTTAATGGGTGTGTGAGTGTGAGAATCTGTGTGAATGATGTGAATGTGAGTGTGAATGTGTGCGAGTCGTATGAATGTGACTTTGTGTGTGATGTGGGAATAAGTGTGTGCGAGTGTGTGAATGTATATGTAAGTGTGTGAATGCATGTGTGTCTATGCATGTAGGAGCCATGCCTCATTTCCTCTCTCTGTGCCCTGGTACTTGTGGATGATTCTGACTGGCCTCCCCCCACACTGATGTGATAAAATCTAATCGCCACATTGGGGGGTGTCCATCAGGCAGAGATTTGAGGGAAAGAGGCAAACAGCCTTGTGGTGCAGGTCACGTGCTTCCATCTGCGACCTCCCAGGAGATCTGGCTTTGAAGCTGACTAGGCATTTCCCAGTCTGGTGAATTGGCTGGCATTCTGTTTGCCACTGGTTTCTTGCCCTCCTGTGAACAGACCCCTGGCTATCACTCTAAGAAGGAAGATGGATGAGTGTGGATCCAGGCACCTAAGCCCTAGCCCAAAACCCTAAATGATATAAAAAAAATAAGGACATTCCAAGTCACAAACTGGTAGGCAAATCGGCAGCTAAAGTTTGAAGGGAAAGATTAAAATAGTTTGTCTTATTAATAAAAGTTCTTTAAGCCATCTCAGAATTTGGAGGGGAGGAAGTAAAGTTACAAAAAAACTCAACTATTTGATACCCTAGCCTTCATCTGAGCATATATATACATATATATATATATATTTTTTTTTTTTTAACTCCCTCATGTTTTTGCCTGATCTGTCTGGTTTGGAATACAAAACAATTGTAAAACAATTCATTCCAATATTGAGTTTATGCACATTTCTGAAATAATCACTATTGTTAATGTGAGGTCTGACATGGAAGTGCACAATCAGAAGCGCTGCTCACTTGTAAGCAATAAAATCTGTTTGTAGCTTGGTTTCGTTTATTGAAAAGAAGATAACTTGAGTTACAAGGAATCTAAGAGTGAATGCGCAGTTATTTGGCTCTTCCATTTGTTGCTGAATGGTAGGCAAAAATGTACTGGCTAATCTTATTTTCTTTTCATGCCTAGTGTCAGGGTAGCATATCAAATTAATTTTAAGCTGGCCTGATGATAAGATGTGAGTCACTGAAAGTTTTGGTGCCGAATTGGTTTTTCAAGCTAGCTAGTTTCCAAAGGAATCTTTACCACATTTAGTGGTAAAGTGCTTTAGTGACTTTAATGACATTTAGGATCTAGTTGGGCTCTAAGAGGGTCATCCTGGTTTGCTTCATTGCTGGTTTCATGCCCAAAACAACTTCCAGTGACATCAGGACATGATTTTTACAGTATGGGCTTTGCTTTGGACATTTTGCCAATTTTATGCTTTCCTACTTTGACCAGATTACATAATTTCATAGCATTCTTTCAAGAACAATTTTAAAATGTCTTGCTGACCTACAGCAATAGATTCAGTGCTAAGACAGACACATATGTGTTGAGTAAATGAAAGTAAAGGTTTAGAAAGAAATAACTCCTACCACTAAAATTGAGAAAATAATGACATGTGACCTACCATTAATGAGTCAATCTGTATTTTATTAGGAATCTATGATGGACAGGGCACTATTGTAGGTACTGAGGAAGATGTGGCAAGCCAGAAACGTACCCCAGTTACCTAAACACACACACACACACACACAAACAGAAAAACCAAACTACTCTTGGAATTTAGTATTCTTATTTATTTCTTGATAACCACATCTCATACGTATAAATAATACCTGTAGTTCCAGGGAAAAACATATTAGGCAGAAAGCCCAAGCTAAGCGTTCATCTCTGGCATCTGGGTTAGGCTTACATGTGCACTGTAAATGGCTGTATTACACATTAAACTGGTTTTTGTAACTTTTACTTCTTAACTGAGTAATTTTTTTAATGTACTAATAAAATTGAGATTCTGATACCTAGTGATATCAGTCAGGCCTTGAAGCTAAAATCAGTATAATTATAAGAGATAATAAAGTATTGCACTACCTATGAGCGCTCATTCCCTGAAACTCTATTCATGTCTCTTTATGCAAACTGTGCTTGGAAATCACTCAGTTCAGAATAAAGGTGGGGGTGCCTTGAGCAGCGGTGGGATGGTGGGAACCAAGGTAGTTGCTAGGACAATGTGGGTGTCTGGACCTGCAATTTTTCTTGAAAAGGTTTTACAAAAATAATCCAATTATAGAAATTACCTCCCTCCCTCCCTCTTCTTTCCTGTGAACGTTTTCTATAATCTGTACAAGTTTTATTACAATTTTTAGGGAAGTTTCTAATTTCTAATTTTCTAATTATGTATTTATTTTTTAGAAAGCCAAAAGGCTGGCTTGAGTAGGAAAGAAAAATCTGGAAATGAGCAATTTCTTATAGACAAAAGTAAGTGGGGTAATGATACATTTAAATATCTTCTTTCTTGTTTCTCAATTCAACATCATTAATTTTTGTTGGCGTAAGTTTATAATACAGCATTCTAATACTCAACTGCTAGAGATAAGATTTATTTAGAAGTATTAATCTATTTACAGAATGAAGATATTTTAAAATTACATTTATCAAGTGACCAATTTCCTCCAGATTTTAGTCAACCTAACAATACCGCTGTCTACTGTCTTCCAATGACACTGAGCACTGAGCTCTCATAGAGAACTTAGGGCATCTGGAGTTAGAAGCCCTGGCTATGAGTCCACCTCCTTAAAATCTCTCATGACTGTGGTTTTGGCAAGCTCTGAACTTCCCTCTCTGTTCTTGAGCCTCCTTATCTATAAGATGGAAAACATAATGTCACATTTTGTAGTTATTGTTAGAATCAAAATTAATTCAGCTAAAAAATGGTAGTTAATCTTAAAACATATCTTACAGTGTTTGGAAGAATTTAAAATATTCTATTGAGAAAGTAGTCTTTTGTTTTTTTTTGTTTTGTTTTGTTTTTGTTTTTGTTTTTTTTTGAGACGGAGTCTGGCTCTGTCACCCAGGCTGGAGTGCAGTGGCACATCTCAGCTCACTGCAAGCTCCGCCTCCCAGGTTCACGCCATTCTCCTGCCTCAGCCTCCCGAGTAGCTGGGACTACAGGCGCCTGCTACCACGCCCAGCTAATTTTTTGTATTTTTAGTAGAGACAGGGTTTCACCATGTTAGCCAGGATGGTCTCGATTTCCTGACCTCGTGATCCGCCCGCCTCGGCCTCCCAAAGTGCTGGGATTACAGGCGTGAGCCACCGCGCCCAGCCGAGAAGTAGTCTTTAAGATAAGTGGAAGTGCTTGTTTTATTTTTAATGAAATGATTGCTGGTATTTGAAAACATATATATGAGAATGTGTAACTCATGGTTAATGTATTTTTATGTTAGCATAAGCTACTGATGATTTCCAAGTTCTCTGAGGCACAGAAGAAGGCCACTATGGCAGATCTTAAATTATTGCTATAGTTTGTATAGTGCTAAACAATGTTCTTCAGTTTTAAAAGTTTTATATGCACTCAGAATAGTATCAACCCTTTACATTTCTGTAAGACCTTGGGGAAATACCTTGTACCAGAACTAACAGATCTTTGCTATTTAAAATGGTAATCACATTCAAACTATAACTTCATAAAATATATGTGCCTTATATAAACATCACCTATTTATCAAACTTAATAAAAATAAAATACAAAAGTATGATTGCATACTTTTATTGATAAATATTAAGAAATTCCTAAAAGGAGCACAGTTACAATGTTTACAAAGCCTTTTCTGACTAACCCATCTAGAGTATGTTACCACCCCCACATCACCTCGTTTTAATTTTCTCATAGCAATTGACATTTTTTGGAATTATGCCTTTCCTTGATTAAATAACTAATTGTCATTTCCCACTCCCAAAACTTAACATTCTATGATACCACAGGCCTTTACTTTTGTTCACAGTCATATTCCAGCATTGAAAATGGTGCCCCAGTCAATTTTCAATGCATGAAAGAAAAGAAACAAGAGAAGGAGGGAGGAAGGAAGAGATTAGAGATCAGGAGAGAGCTATCAACGCAGCTATTTTTGTGAGTCTGGCTGAAGTAAAGGTAATAAATATGTTACAACTTTGGCCTTTATTATATCAGAAATTTCTACCCCATAAGAAACACTCATAAAGTAAGATATCAGTTGTGGTGGCTTTATTTCCAATAATATATGGATAAACCAGAGCACATTTAGAAGAAATGTATATGTTCTCATTCATAAGTGGGAGCTAAGCTATGAGGACGCAAAGGCATAAGAATGCCACAGTGGACTTTGGGGACTCAGGAGGAAAGCATGGGAAGGGGGTCAGGAATAACAGACTACGAACTGGGTTCAGTGTGTACTGCTTGGGTGATGGGTGCACCAAAATCTCACAAATCACCACTAAAGACCTTACTCATGTAGCCAAACACCACCTGTTCCCCAAAAACCTATGGAAATAAGAATTTTAAAAAAGAAGAAATGTACGTGTGGTAGCAAGAAATCACACTGGTAAGTGAATGAGGAGTTATAATAAAAAGTCTCATTGGAATATCCCTCTGAGTGAAAAGTTAAAAAAGTTAGAGTATTGTAATAATCCATGCACAAAGAATAATACTAGTAGAATGATTCTCTTCATTGAACGCTTGGTAATCATTAAGCAGTGTGCTAGTTGCTTTGTATGCATTCCCTGCATGTGAAAAATACATCTGTGAAAATGTGCTTAAGGAACGCAGGGACACATAATAGTGAATAGAGTGACAGTCACCTGGATTTCCACGGTACCAAACCCAGGAGGGGCTCCCAGGAATGTCTCCATTCCATCTCAGAAGCCTTTCAAAGAGGACACCCAATCTCCCAGGGGCAGATCATCTTTTAATGAGTCTTCTAGCTCCATTAGTCTATAATTTGCCTCCTTTTTATAAAACCATATAGACTACAATTTCCTAATAGAGCAACCAAGAAAAAATAGCAGACATTAAATAATCGCACAAAATGCTCCATGTACTGTCAACAGGGCTCATAGTATATTTTCAGGTAAATTTTTAATTACTTGCAGATTACAATGTTTAATTAGTTTCACAGTAATAATAAAATGTTATGGAAGAATATTCTTTGCTGAAATTGTAATTTTATTCTGCACATGGTATTATTGATAATGAATTTATCAAGAATCAGGCTTTCCAAGCACTACTTCCAACTGTCTAGCTTTCCAACTCTGAAATTATATTAAAAATAAATCTGTAACGTCTTACAAACTCCTTTGAAAACTTGTAAGGTATTAATTTTATCATGGTAAACAAAAGGGCCCCCATAACCTGCCACGACTTTTTATAACTACAGCATTTATCAGAGCAAGGGCAAAGCACATATTCATTAGTCCCTTGCCTACCTCTTCCCTGAACACAAAAATCACGCTTTTTTTCCTGACAATAGTCTGAATGGAAAGGTAAACATTTCAAAAATTAAATCTCATAAAATAAGGATTAGTACACTCAAAACTAATAATATACCGTGGACTCTACATCTTTTTTTGTTCTGATTTATTATTCCCAAATAATAAATTTCAGCCTTTTGCAGACAAGGTATTCTACTGGGATAATCTCAGAAAACATGCTAAGACTTTCAGGCTATGTTACATAGATGGAATCAAAGTATCAAGGAACGTTCTGAGCCAGAGGGATCTTGGAGCCGCCCTAGCCCAGCCCCTTCATTTTACTGATAATGAAATACATCCACTGTTATTTGGGATTTGCCTTTGCTGCTATTCAGTGGCAAACCCCAGCAAATCTTTGCTGTTCTCTTCCTCTACATTCTGTAAAGACCCATGAAGCCATCGTCACCAGCAGCACAGAAGCAATTCTGAGCAGAGGATGCACATGTCATCGTCCCTCTGTGTACCTGCGTGATGTAACGAGGAATAATTAACGGTACCTACCAGTCTAACTTAGGAGCTTTAGGCATGCTGCCCTGTGTCAGCAGCTATCAGGTTAACGTAGTCCTCCTAGAACAGGTCTAAAAGGAATTTGGTTTTAGGTTCTAGTGCAGAGTTCAAAGAGCCTGTGTCCTTTTTCAGTAGGATTCAGTGTTGGTTTGTGATTGTGTAACAATCCCAAACAATTCCCCATCTACAGGAAAGACAGGGCATCCCGCGGCAGACCCTGTGCGCATGTGCATGGCGAAGGAGTTGCGTATTCTCCTCCCGCAGGAAGCAGGTGATGAGCCGGAAAGGAGGCTGTGCTCTGGCGGCTCGGGTGCGCCCTAGGCTGTGAGTAGGGATCTCACCTGCATGGGGCGGGGCTGGAAGAAACTCAATGCCAGAGCAAGGGGTCCTCTCCAGGCACTCAGACAGAGTCCCTATCCTCTGTTCCTCAGGGGAGAACAACTCCCAAGGGGGAACGACTGTGGACCGCGCATCTCACCACTGTGCTGCGGCGGCTGGCCTGCCACAGCTCCCAGCGCTCCCAGTCTACCCAGCACTATGGGAAGCGCTTTCCTCACGACAATCTAAAAGATGTAATTCTGTCTGTTAGATAATTCTTGTTCCATTTTAAAGAGACAAAACTGAGGTCAAAAAAGTCTGATGGTCGCTCTAGTAATAGCGGGGAAAAGGCCAGGATTTAAAACCACGGCTGTCCACCTTGAAAGCCCATTGGCCTTTCAGGGCGGCCTATCGCCTCTAGTTCCAGGCTGGATCTAGGAACACCGTGTATCCTATCCTAGTCACCAAGGCCATGTGCAAAGGCATCTCTGCTGCCTGTTCAAAGGTGTCTGAAAATCCTTTGAAGCAACCCTCTCCTTATTCAGTGAGAGATCCAGCTTAAAATGCAAAAGGGTCTGGAATAAGAAAAGTCATAAGAGAAGTCACCCTGAAGGGTAAATGGCGCCTGCAATACAAAGCTAAGCTTTCTTCTCTCCCTTTTATTGATGAGAAAAGTGAGGCTCTGAAAAGTTCTGAGAATCGTCCAAGAGCCAGCAGCAAAGTAATGGGTTATAGAGAAAAGAATTAAACCAACGTCGGCCTGGCTCCAGGCCTGGTTCTTTCCCTCTACGACGCTGCCTTCTAGGACGAGGGCTCCTTAGAGAACCATCTTCTCTTGCTGGAGAAAACCGGGCCTGTTCTGACTGGGAGATGTTCCCAGGACCCTAGAGGGTAGCCACCTGGTTCATCAAGGTGTGTCTGTGTCACAGGGAGAAAATATTTTAAAATCTCATTTCAGTTCGGGCCAGTTGCTGGAGGAGAAATACATTTTTCTTGCGGATAGTTCTTTTCGTTTGGAAAATATCTCAATGCACATTTTAATAAGGCAAAGATGGCGGGCCTTTTGAATAGTCTGGGAGCGGAGAGAGGAGAGTCCCCTTGCTCTGCATAATACAGAGGAACCTGAAGCGGCTTCAAGGTAGGGACCCTGGAGGAGAAGCCAGCACAGCCCTTCAGGAAGCCAGGGTGCAGGGGATGAAGGCCACTGTGTTTCCCACAGTGATGTCCAAGAAGTCTCACATCTGTTACCAGAGATGTGGAGGGAGAAATGGCAACAGGGATGGAGAGATATCCAAGAAGGTCCCACAGCAAGAGTTTGGAATAAAAACAAAAATAGAATAAAACAAAACCCAAAATAACAAAACACAAGGTAGGGTCCTGAGGCTTCTGATAGTATGTGAGAGGAGGGATCAAGCTGTTTTAATTGGGTGCCAAGGTCAGTGGGCTAGAAGACTGGGGAGCATTCAGGTGACACTTCTCAGGGGCAATTGAGCATTTGGTACTGAGCCGCTGGCAAAGGTAACTTCACAGTGGAAGCAGGACAAGGAGTGGAGACCTATTGCCCAGTCTTTCCCGCTGTGGACCCTGGTTATCAGCTAAGTATCACTTATATTTATTATTTACCATGCAACAAATATTTCTCCATGCCTATCATGGACAAACTCTGAGACAAAGAACCACAGAGGAAACACCTCTTGAAGTTTAGTCAAGAGAAAATGTTTGGCTTTCCTGATGCACTGATTTACTTCCTTTAATCAAACATGCACAGTGGAGCTTGTCAAGTTTCCTGTCATGAGTATCTCTGGTATCTTTTGGTTCGGTTGGGTGCACTTTGCTTTTCTTAGCATGATTACTCTGATAGAATTCTCTTTCTCCATCCTGCTTTCTTTTCTGTTTAGGCTTTTATTGTAACTGTGTCTTTTAAGTTCCCTCAAACTGTTTTGGAAGTAGGAAAGTCAGTAACTAGTTGAAACAGGGGAATTGGAAATCAGCATTCTAGTTTAGAGATTTTTTTTTTTCTTCTGTGTATTTGGTAAACCTCTCTTGAAATAAACATGGAATAATGAAATATCTGAAGTGGCGAAATCTGAAGTGCAGAAAACTCTAAGAAGTTATAGCAAAAGAGCGAGCTCTATGGCTCATAGGGTTTCTATGTCAGTAAGGATAGTACCTGGCACATAAATGTTGCCAGACTTTAATCATAAATATTATAATAAAGAGTAATTGGAGAAGAAGGAGATGTTTTTAGAAGATTTCTGGAAAAGGGATGGGTGACGGTAGGGCCTAGGGGAGATTAGTTGGTAAAGACCGGAAGCACAGGACTCTATATGCTGCATTCAATAAATGTGTAACTTCCTTTAAAATTATTTTACATGAGCAATTTCTCTCACCAAAAGTATCACCTCTGTTTTTCTCCCACAAGTATTTTTCATCCCTCACTCATGCATTTGTTAATCCATTTGATTAATTAGAATGCTCTGGTAAAAATGAGTTTGGGTTCATTTAATTTCTTGGTTTTCAGAGTGATAACTAGGAAATCAATTCTGCTTCAATCTTTCATTGCTGAAAATATTCTCAACATCTATTAGCTTATTTTTTCACCCCAGCAAATAACATATTTAATATTTCTGTAATATTTCTTTCATGCATTAGAAAACATGGGTATCTCTGGTTCATCATTTTAAATAAATCATAACTATATAGGTTTGTAATATGAAAACTTGGCTAGCTATTTACTGACCCTAGCACTAACCTTGGAGGCTGATTTTTAAAACAAATCTTTGCTATTTTGTTTGTTTTCCAATGATTTCAAGCTCTAAAAGTAGAGCAAAAAGAAAAAAAAAATCTAGTAAATTAAAGGTTCTATTTAGCTATGTTCCAGTTAATTCGAGCCTTTCTGAATGCTAATTACATGAGGCAAGTTAAATTTATTCTGGAGAAGATAAGCCTTTTGTGAAATAAATTCAAGGAGTTCTTAGTCTTCAAGAAGTGTAAAATAAACTTTTAAATAATTTAAGTTATATGTAATGTACTTAAACATTTTCAGGATCATATAGCAGAGTTGAGTGGAATTATAAATCTGAATAGCTACAGTCTAAGCTTTTTAAAATCTTCTTTAGAAAGTTTAAAAGGCATCCATGTAGTCGAAACTTAATATATACATTAAAAAAGAATCATGTTTCAATGTGAAGCACTCAGATTAATTTACAATGAGAAGGCTTACTGTCAATTATATTAAGATGCTGTATCCCTATATCCTAAAACAGCAGGTAATACAGCAAGACTATCATAGTCAGTGGAACTATATCATTTTCTCAACATACTCATATACATTAATAATTAAACTTCTTAATTTTATGGGAGCCAAGGCAGATTGCATACATAGCCCACAATTTTATATCTCAAATAGCATTCAGACCAGAGCAGCTGTGAGGTCTTAAATAACCAGTATATGCCAATTATCATTGAGAGCCGCAGTCCAGAGCAAGAATTTGGCCATTTTCCTAGGTTTCTTGAGGTTTTATCCCGTCCTAGAGGGAGTATATTACACATGTTCACAAATGTTCGGTTAACATTTAGTAATTGGTGAAAGATTCACTCGAGGTTCTGCAAACTCCGAACAGCTATAGATCATTCTCCTAACAATCACTATGTAAGTCTAAAGGCATTTCTACTGGATTCTTTGGTTAAAAAAATATTCTTTGGACAGGAAATGAAACAAAATATAATAGCACATACTTTATAGGTCAGTAGTGGGAACACAATAAAATAGTATATGAAACTTGCTCACAACAAACGTCTAGTACATGTAGTCAGTACTCAGTCAAGGTGTAGGAGTAATCAGAGGTGGAGAAGTCTCCTCTCTACAATGAAGTCTTTACCAGAAATGATTTTCCAACCAACTAAAGTATTCTTGGAGTTAAATGTCAACACTTGTAGAGACTGAAAGTTTATTTTAGTGAAAATTAAACTTTCTAAAATATATATACAACACTGAGAGTTCATTTAAACGTGAAAGCAAGGGCTAGAACAAAAGGAAGCATTTTGAGGTTTTCAAAATCTTGAGTCCATTTTCTCATGAAGATTGATGGATGGACAAGTAGGTAGACAGGCAGGAAGAAAGAACATCTGTCATCTGTCTCATTGTACTTCTATTTGCCTATCGTTAAACTCCCAGGATCAACAGAATTCTAGGTGCTATGTGTGAGCACCTAGAATAAGGCCTGGCACATAGTAGGTCATCAAGCAGGTATGGAATGAATAAGTATGTATTTGTTTATCCTAGAGTTATTTTTCCAACTCTACTCTGTGGCTATAATAAAATGATTTTTAAGAATATCTTTCATGTCAAATTGTGATATTATGGACATTAAGCATCAAAATATGGATAATTGGCAGTCAGAAATTTTGAAATATAAATATTTTTATTCAAGCAGCATGGGCAAAGCCTTAATCAAATGTCAACAGGGAACACACCACACAATTCAGAGGGAGAGGAAGAGCTTAAAAAGATAATTATTGGACGGTGAGATTTAGAAATAATTAGATTGTCATTGGGACTCAATGAGTAGAGAATTTCTGTATCTTCCCATAAAACTGAGAGGATGGAAAATTCCTTGGCTCCATAGAGAAAACAGATGCATCAAAGCACATGTTGGAAAGGAAATAATGCAGGAATCAAGAGAAGGAGAACAAGCAATGGAAGGCCTCAAAATAAGGATCATGTAGAGTAAAAATATAAAGAAAAATGAAGCAGAAAGGTAGACAACTCCATAACATTAAATAGGTAGGTATGAGAGCATGAATAATTTATTCAGACCTATATTCAAATCTTGGTTTTATCCATTTATTACCTCTGTGACCTTAGGCAAATTAAGTAAACTCTCTGAGTCTGTGGTTCCTTATTTATTAAATAATACATACATACGACATTGAAGTTTTAAGGATTTAATGAAATAACACATATGAAAGTAGCCTGCTGTGCCGCAGCATCGATGTTCTATAAATGTGAAGCTTTTGCTTATTGCACAAATGTGGTTTCAAGTTTAAACTTGGGTTACTCCACTGCTCAGTGGTACCCAGCCTGTAGCTTAGCCTCTGCTATGCAGTGCCATCCTCTTTTGTTTGGTTGTAAAGGAGACAAGTTTACCTTTTAGGGAAGAAAAAATAGATGCATTTGCCCACATGTTCTCAAACATCCTTACAAATAGTAACAAGGTGTTCTGAAATATATCAGTGACAACATAAGGCTTGTATTCTCTTCAAAGTTCAACATTGCTGATTATGTTATACATCAATCACTGCGCTGGAGGGACTCAAAAGTTTCCTAGCCCAACTCTCTGGTTTTACAAATGGGGGAAACCAAGACCCAGATAAGTGATGTTTATTCACGTAGTAACTTGATGATGTGCTCAACAAATACCAGTAGAGCACATAGCCCACATCAGGCACGGTACTAGACAAGAGTGCACGCAGACGGCTGAAGCCCAGGGGCTGCCCTCAGGGCCTGTGGATGCAGTGTGTGCAGGGCCCTTGAGTGGAAGCCCAGCCCAGGCTTTTTCCACTCTATACTGAGTAGTTTCCTGATGTGTTTAAGCCTGTTTTTACTTATGACATAGACTTGGGCTCATAAACAGGACCAACATGGGCACTGAATTTCCTGTTAATCACTGACCTGCTGAGAGTAGCAAGATTAAATGATTTCAAATTAATTTTGAAGCCAAATCTAACCCAGGCAAAAGGGCACAGAGGCCTCAGCAGCGCCTGCCTTCGAGATGAGACCAGCTCCAAAGCTCACCCCAGCCAGTCTGCACAAGCAGCAGAGAGAGATGCCTTGCAGCCTGGGATGTGGTGGCACTTCCCCAAAGTGGCTCTCTTCATCCCAGCACATGCTTTATCTCTGTCTTACTCTAGGGTTTACAGCATCGTGTTATGGATGAGGGTTGAGAAACGTATCTGAAAGCAGACAAGCAAGCTTTTCCAGTTATACGGAGTGACTTTCTGTACTAGTCCTGGATCTTTGCTCTCTGAGTCTGGAATATGTGGATACTCCCAGTTTATAAAGATGGCTCTGTGGCCACCTTGACATGGCACATTAAATTGAAATTCTGCTTCAGGTACAACTTAGATGTTGCAGCATTTCTTGTGTGCCTAGCATCAATTGCTTCTTCCTAAATGCATCCCCGTTGCCTTTTCAGGCATCTCCTTTCTTCTGCTGTATAAAGTATTGAGGGGGTAAACAAAGACGCTTCCCCTCTCCCCCACCACAGAGTATACAGGGGGTCCCAAGAGGTTCAGCCAGCACTTCCCTCTCACTTCCCAGTGTAATGACATGACAGAAGCTTTGCCCGTCTTTCTCCTTCGCCCCTATAATCCGGAGTCTCGTGAAAGGTGGTACAAGGGGGAATTGGAATTCATTCCCAAGACTCTCTGGGGCTACCTGAATCCTGCCTTCTAAATCTTGAAACACCTTCCAAACTTTTGAGTCACCTCCTCAGTCCTCTGAGTTCCCGTGGACTGTCCTAGAGGGAGCACAGTACAGCCTCTTTCTGACCAACGTGTGGTCAAGCCAGACAGAGAGGAGTTCTGTCGCCTAAAACCAAAGATCTCAGCTGACACAGAAATGCCAAGACCTTAGTGGATACAAAAATGCTGAGACCTTAGCAGACACAGAAATACCCAGACCCTAGTGGATACAGAAATACCCAGACCGTAGCAGATACAGAAATCCCACTCTGTGCAGACTCCCTTAGTAGCATCTCAGTGGGACAGGTCATAAACTATGAACACCAATGGAAGAGGAAATTTAGAGAGCTTTACAACAGAGATCTAAAGTGATTTCACCAACAATTATAGTGAGCATAACTTTAAGAGATTCAGTAAAAGATTTATCCAACAGTTAAGTACCCAAGACTTTCTGCCAGCACCTCTGCATCTCCACGATGCGATGGAAATAGATGTGTATAATGAGAGGTGGGTGGTGAGGCAGAGGGAGGTGGGTTTTGCTTAGAGCTTCCACGTTCCCTCTGTGGTGCTCCTTGTGTTGACGACTTCACTCAGGGTCTCAGTTGCTTTCGCTTTGATAGGTAGCTAAGAACACCTGCCATACTTTTCTGGCAGTTTCTTAATTTTGGAAGTTAAAGGAAATAATAAAAATTTGAGGAATATACAAGACATTATATATGCACCTATTATTGCTATCCTAACAGATCCTAGATCAAAGATTCAATATTTTGATTACCTACATTTTATTGTATTCCCATTCTTAGAAAATTGGCAATCTTAAAACAATCTTTACTAACTTTTTCTAAGGCTCACCTATGAGTGAAAACTGGGAATATATATCAGCCAATTGAATTAAGACATCAGACTAATAGCACATTAATTTTATTAAATGGTTACCAAGAAATTCTATTAACCCTCTCAGGTTCTACACTTCGAGCTGATTTAATCTACAAAATGCTTTGCATGTGTATGAAGTTATATATTTAAATGTTCTTTGCTGCCAGCTGTGAAGCCCATAAATATTCTTCTTGCAAACAAGAAGCGCACAGCCTTCATGAGAAGCAGTTTGCCTCCTTGTCCATTGTTTTTCTCCCCGATAGGCCTTGACAGCTGATTTACAGGAAGAGGCCTCACCTTATCTGCATCTGTATTGATGTGTTTGGTGAGCAAAAAAGCAACTAACAGACTTAATTTTAATCAGGGAAAAAATGGACTTTACTCATTCTCTCAAGCAACTACCTAAATTCATCAGGTTTTTAAACCATCTTCTCTTACCCTCAACATGGAAATTCTTCAAAGGCAGTACCAGGACAAGGAGAGAATAATTATCCACTCTAAGCCTCCGTAACTTGCTTAGGGAACATAATCATGGCTTCTCTTCCATGATATACAGCAAAACATTTCAAATTTGTACCTTTGATAAAAATTTACAAATTGGCAACAATACATTGACCAATCAGGAATTTGAGAGAAACCATTAAATATTAAATCTCAACTTATTAAAGCAAATGCTTTATACTGTCAAATCCTAGAAAATCTGTATTTTGGGCAGATAAAATAATAGCCACAATGATTTTAACTACACACATTGCAGATCAAAGACTCCAGACCACTTGCTAAATAGAAACAAGAATAATTCAACATGGCGAGTGGGACTCAAGTTTACATTGCTCTTAGGCAACCAAGTTGGCATGTTCTGCTAGACAACTTACTTTCTAAAGAATTGAAACAAGACTCTAAAACTCCCGTTTTTCTGTACCATTTTTATTTTATCTGTCTTCAGTATATATAAAATTCATTTGGTGAAAACTACTAGAAGAGGCCTTTTAACTTTAAATTACTCCATTTTAGAGACATGAAATGCACAGCTCTATAGATACAATAGGTATGGAATTACTTCTTCCCCTGTTACAAGAATGTTTTCTTTAGTTATCCTCTTGAGGAAACTAATAACGTTAATATTTGCTTCCCTTTATAGATGATATAAATTAGTTAAAATAAGAAAATATCTGTATAAAAACTAGTCTTTTTTTGTGTCTTCCTTCTCTCTCCCCCACCCCCACCTCCCTGCTAAACCCATTTTTTAGAAAGTATAACAGTCAAAGTTGTAAAATCCATTACTCTTGTAGGGGAGAAAAAATAATACCTTTTCCTCACCAGCTACAAGAGTCATGGCGGAGACTACTATAACAGAAGGCGGATTAACAAGAGAAAAGCATAAAAAAATTTATGTAACAAAAGTTTTCTGTGACACAGGAAGGTGCCTTCTGAAATTAAGACCCAAAGACCCAGGAAAAACTATGTAATTTTTTTGCATAGGTTCCAGGAAAAATGTACAGTTGTATAGAAATGTGACTGGACAAAAAGGGGGTACGACCTAATGTACTAAACTGAGGGGACTCTGCAAGGCTTATTTGTTTAGCTTCTTCTTGGCCTTTCTGTTCAGGGCAAGACACCTATCACTTGAGGGTCTTCAGGGGAGAAAGGAGAAGGTCAGAAAGTGGCCTTTCTAGGTTTTATGGTTTGCTTTGGCAAAGAGAAATTTTGGTTTCTATGAACCTCCTCAGGGGAGAAAGGAAGATGAAGGAAAGGAGGGAGGGAGAAGGTGAGAGAGTGACCTCCGAGGTGTCACATTTTGGGGTAGCGTGTTCTGAACCCTGATACTCCTCAGTTAAACGTGTGCTGAGTTGAATTTCTAGCCCTGCTAATTCAATTAGGAAAAGGTAGTTCCTTTGGGTTCATGTATAGAAACCAAATAAGTTAAAAATAACAAAGCTCCTCAGATAGTTGGGCAGATTTCATTCTAGTAGACATTTAAAAGAAATTGAAGATTGATGCATTTAAAACCAATAATTAGATGTTTTTATCATTGTACATTTCTTGCAACAACTCTGGCCATTTATTAGTCTATTTTTAGGTGAGAGAACAAAGGTACAAAAATGGCAAACGGGAAAAGAGACAAGCATAAAACAGCTTCGCTTCAATCATCTACTGAAAAAAAAAATGATAGAGAGGCATAAGTTCCTATGTCATCATTGTGCCTTCATGGAGGCCTCCAATTATTTAAGGTAGAATATTTTTGGGGTTCAGAACATGATACTCCAAAATATAGCACCTTTGTGTACTGTTTTAAGCTCAAGAAAATGGAAAACGCCGCAGAAGCAGGAGGGTCTCTGTGACTTTTCCTGTCCTCTGTCTCCTGAAGTAGGCATGGAAACTAGAATTCCCTCCACCCCTTCTTCCCTGAAACAGGCCATGACCGCAGGGAAGGCCACTCTTTGACCTGCGGCCTCACTTCTTCCCTGAAGACCTCATGTGACAGGAGTACTGCCCTATACCAGGAGGGAAGGAATGTCACTCAGGAACACGGAGAAGAAACTGGGCAATCAGGTCTCCCTGAGTTGCCCCCAGTTTGTACCGATTGGAGCATGCCATTTCATCCTCCAGTCTTACTTCTGCATGCCTGTCCATAAAAGTACACACATCTCTGTTTCTTTGGGTCTCCATTTCTGAAGGCTCCCATGTCACATAACCTCTATTAAATAAATGTGATGTTTTTCTCTTGTTACTCTGTCCTTTGCTCTAAGGTTCTCAGCCACGAACCTTGTGATAGGTAAGGAAAATATATTACTTTTTCTCCCCTATAATATAGTGATTGGTTTGGCTCTGTGTCCCCACCCAAATCTCATCTTGAATTGTTATACCCATGGGTCAAAGGAGGGACTTGGTGGGAGATGACTGGATCATGGGGGCAGCTCCCCCATGCTGTTCTCATAATAGCGAGTGAGTTCTCATGAGATCTGATGGTTTAAAAGTGTGGCACTTCCGCCTTCTCTATCTCTCTCCTGCTGCCATGTAAGATATGCCTTGCTTCCCCTTTGCCTTCCACCGTGATTGTTAAGTTTCCTGAGGCCTCCCCCGCCATGTGGAACTGTGAGTAAATTAAAACTCTTTTGTTTAGAAATTATGCAGTCTCAGGTAGTTCTTTATAGCAGTGTGAAAACAAACTAATACATATAGTTAGACATTACTTAAGTGCTAAACACAACATTCACCGAATATTCAAGAGTTAATATATGTCAGCACAATGATGATACCAATATGGCTTCTAAATTAATAGTTAATGTTTTACAGTAACTTTTCATAAACCATTTTCTTGTCAGGTAACAACAAGAATATACACACATTTATTTTTAAAAGCCTTCTGTCAAGTTGCATTAAAAGCAGGTTGCAACATGATTGGCAGAATTAAGAAGCCTTTGAAACAGGTAACACAGTTGCATTTAAGTGTGGGCAACGAGAACATATTTTATATCTTAGATCTAGTTTATTAAAGAGACCTTAAATTAAAAAAAAAAAAACAGAGCAAATGGATCATCTGGAGAATTCAGAGCTAAAGTGATTAATTAGACCTTATTTTGTCTTGAACAGATTTACTAAGCATTTTTCAAATAGCCACATTGTTTGTAATTACCAAAATCACACCTCCATTGGCCAGCCTAAGTTACTTCATGCATGAATGACAATCTGATGGAACACTCTTGTTAGAGCTTCATTCTTCATTGTAATTAGCCATAATCATAGCCTTCCTGGGTGCATGAGAATGTGCAAGCCGCTATTCACAACCCCAACCCATTTGAATATGAATCTTCTCAGTAAGGAGCAATAAAATAGGAGAAACAAAGCAGTTTCTCTAGGGAATTTTGTAAAGCATCTCTACTCTAATTCTGCCTCCCTTCAAAATGTTCCCTCTCCGGTATCTGGATTCTATTTGCTAAAACAAGGGTGGCTTAATGAGGACAATGGCTTATTATTTCTTAAGTGACACGGGAGGGCCCAAGTATTCCAGGCTTAGTTCTTTCAGTCTTTGCCAAGGACACAAGGAACAAAAGAACAAGCAAGTGTGCGTGGAAAAGAGAACTCGGACTGGGCTATACTCTGTGAACTCTCGGAGCAAGATGGGGGCCTTTGCTATTCCGGAGCTCAAAGGCTGTTGCTTGCTTGCTTTCTTCTTTCTCCCCTCTTTACCCACCCCGCTGCAAATGACTCAGACATTATAGAAAAAGGCTCAAAGCAGCAGGGATTGAAAACAAAGGCTAAGTGGAGGAGGGGTGACATGTCTGATCCCGTCCCAAGCACATTCATAGTGAGCCACCTACTGGCAACTCTACTTTTCCTTCTGTTATTGTCTAATCACCTAAACCTCTTCAGGGAAAACCTAGGTAAACCCGCTGGAGTCACTCCAGATGCCTTCTCAGCCAAAAATGGGAAAAACAAAATTCAGGGGGAAATAAGCTTCAGAGTAGTGCTGTGTCTTCAGAAGAAAACTCAATCCTTCCAGCAAAACTATGGCTAAGTAGCAGGTGTAAAGAATTATTCAAACGGCTATTTGTAAAAGAATCATCATTTGACTTATGAAGCAAAATCAACTACTTATTTACACTAATCACATCATATATGAAAAGTGTGGTGCTGCACACGCTACAGATCTGGTGCTCCTTCAAGACCTTTACCATTTGTGTGGAGAGATTTTTTTCTTCGAGACGTGCCGCTCACCTATTAAGATACCTGTTTAGATTATTTGCTACCAGAAGATGCTCCAGGGCTGCAGGAGACTCGGGATGATTCTCTGATCATCTCCTGGGCTTGGACCTTCATCATGTTGAAATGACTCTCCCAAGGCCACACAGCCGGTTGAATGTATCACTATTAAAGTACCCGATAACAATACAATTCAGCACTTCCACGGCTATATGCACAATGCAGTTTTAGGCCAGGTGCGGTGGCTCATGCCTATAATCCCAGCACTTTGGGAGGCCGAAGTGGGAAGATAGCTTGAGGCCAGGAGTTCAAGACCAGACTGGACAAAAGAGTGAGACCCTATCTCTACAAAAAATTTAAAAAATTACCAGGCATGGTGGCACACTACTGTAGTCCCAGCTACTCGGGAGGCTGAGGTGGGAGGATCTCTTTTGATCCTAGAAGTTCGAGGCCGCATTGAGCTGTAATCACACCACTGCACTCCAGCCTGGGTGACAGAGCCAGACCAAGTCTCTAAACACAACAATAACAACAACAACAACAAAACCAAAACTCGCAGCTTTGGACCTGAACAAGGATAAGTGGCCCTCCCGGTCAAGGAAGGCATAAAGTCCGGCATGGGTGGAGGTGGCCTGGGACGCTGTCTGAGAAATGAGGGGCAGAACCTGAACCCGGACTCCGTGAGAAGGGGCCATAACTGACTAGCAACAACATCTGTTCACTGGTGCCCAAGGAAGGCCAGTTAAATCACCTGTCTCCCACCCAGTGTCCACTGTGCTCCAGGAACTGCTACGCCCTATGGAGGCATCTCCAGTGGAGAAAACATGACTAAACGTCCCAGAAGCAGGGAGTTGGGGCGCTGGGAAGCTGGGGTGGGAACACACACCGCTGGGACGATTGGGGGTATCTATTCCCATGTCCCTTGTCATAAGTTACATTCAAATTGACAGGAGAGCTTCTTCCTGGCTATTTGCTTCTCTGATCTCTCTGTTGTCTCGTACCATATTTTGGGATTATTTTATTTTGAAAGCCATTTCAATATTTTTAAGTCCCTCACTCTGTATTTCTTCTTTCTCCATTTTTTTTTCTTAGAATAACAGTTTAAGACAGATGGCTATAATAATTCCTTCATCAGATAATAAGATATAATTTAAGACACATTTACAATACTTACATCTCTGATACGCAAAAAAGAAGAGTGTCTATAAGATTAGGAATTAGTCTAAACTGAAGTCCTGAAGGGCTGACAGAGACCACTTTTCCTACTAATTTCATCAGTGTCATAAATCACAATTATAACACGATCATCATGTACTGTGTTCTTTTTGTGTGCCAGATAGGGTGCTAAGTGTTTTACAGGCACTCCTCCACCTAATCCTTACAACAGCTCTACCAGGTGTCAGCGCTGGGCATTATCTCCAGCTTACGCCGAGTCTGAGAAGGCAGCAACAGCTTGCTCAAGATCACACAGCTAGTTAACAGCAGGGCTGGGAGTGAACGAAGGAATCATGGTTCACATGAGACTGCGTGGGGAGTCCTCTGCTCCTAAGATTCAGCCACTTCAGCAGCGACCAAGCCAGGCGCGCTCGCAGGGCACAGCGTAGAAGCGATGCTGCTGCAGCGGCTGCTCTAGGAAGAGCGCAAGGATACGGTGATAAGAGGAAGGGCGGAAGAAACGCTTTTCGGACTCTGTGCACCTCCAAAGGGACTACCCATGTGAAATTCAATGGCAAGTCACGGTCTGCTGAAGGGACAGCTGTGCTAAAACCAGCGAAGTGGGGCTTTTCACACGTGTCATCAGGCTCATTTAGGTGAAGTCAGAATCAAACACAATTCATAGTAGGCCTAGCTGGTACAGCCACAGACTAAACTGAAAGGTTTATAACTAGCCGTACAGAGGCCTTTTTAGTCATACTCTCATGCGTACATACCAATGAATGTCAGTTACACCATCTATCAAAACAAATATAGGTTTTAAAACTGCATACACAAATATTTGCTTTAATTTCTTTTTGGAGAGAAATAAAGTCAGTCTCAAACCAAAAAATAATAATAATAATGTAGGATCTGTAATGCTTGCTTTTTAATTCCTTCTCTATGAGGCCTGATTATGTGTCAGACAGCATTATCTGGAGGTCACATGGAACTCTAATTCCTGGAGCAAAGTCAAAACATCTTTCAATTCTACTGGTTAAACAAACACACAGATGGTTTTCTTTTGTGGAACTATGCAGGTAGAAGTTTCTGTTCCCAGTTTAATAGATCATTAGCTACTCATGGACTTTCACAAATAAAAAATGTGTGCTTTGACAAAATTTAATTCCACAAACATTACTGAATGCTTACTATGCGCAGGATACTATATATAGTCAAGAAAATAAAGATGAATAAAACAAAATCATTCAATTAAAAAAAAAAAAAACAGAAAGAAAATGGTCTCCTTCTCCCAGAACTAGCAGGTTAATGAGAACTAAATATATAAGGCAAATACAAAATAAAAACTATAGTTTAAGTCAAAATATGTGGGAAGTAAAATTTATGGACATAGATTAGTAATATATTTCCTTCAACTGTTGACCATAGAATATGTTAGAGATTTTAAATGTATAATGATACTAATGATATTAATAATAATAGTTAATATTTATACCTAGCATGGACCCAACAATATTCTAAGTTCAAGAATATATGGTCTTATTTCATCTTTATAATAAATGACAACCCTATGAGGTAGATACATAGATACAAACAAGGAAACCAAGACTTAGAAAGAGGTTAAGTACTTTGCCCAAGGTTTCATATCTGGTAGTATAGCTTTTTAAAAAATGTTTATTTTAGGTTTAGGGGTACATGTGAAGGTTTGTTACATAGACAAACACGCATCATGGGCGTTTGTTGTACATACTGTTACATCCCCCAGATGCTAAGTTCAGTGTGTGTTGTTTCCGCCTTTGTGATCATAAGTTCTTATCATTTAGCTCCCACTTATAAGGGAGAACATGTGGTATTTGGTTTTCTGTTCCTGTGTTATCTGGTAGTATAGCTTTGTATGCATATTTCTTTCTGTCTTATTAAGGCTGTGATAAAAACAAGAAGATTGGCTACAAGGACTGAGAACACCACAGTTCTGTGAATAAAATAATAAGAAAGGATGATTCGAGGCTGATAGTAACACATAATGGTAGGATATCAGGAAAGTTAAAACGTACGGTAAGTCAGTGGTTCAACCAGGTATTGCAAAGAAAAGCAAAAGACAGAATTTTCTGCCTGATCTCCAAGGAGATCAAGCCATTCTGGAGCAGAGATTTTTATACTGGGTACACAAAGCTTTGGCATACAAAGGCTTTCCAAGGAGCACCCAAATGCAAATAATTTTAAGGAGTTCAATTTCCAGATTTTAAACGTTCAGTGTACTCTTTTCTGAAAGTGATGATCTGCTCAGGAAAGCCCCTGGTGTTCTCTTTTCTCTACTCCCCTTTCACAATAGTTCTGCCGCTTTACAAAAGAAGGAAATCTCTCATCCATCCCAAACCTGACAGTTCACTGTCTCTGGCTGCAAGGCCCCAGGTCACCAGGCCACAGGCTCCGTTTGAAATCATGTTGGTGACGGTGTTGAGAAGGGGAATGGCTTTGACGGCTGGGCAGCAAATCCTGTTGTAAGTCAGGCAGTTTCTAGTTTTTGGCTTTCAAGAAAATTGAAGGCAGACCCGACAGTTTATCAGTGATGAGATCACTAAAAAGAATTATTGATTAATGAATTGCTATGTGATTGTTGGCATATAATTCTCAGGATAAGTTCAAAGAATTGAGTCACATTGTTAAAATTCCTTTCATTCACATCTGCTTTATTATAACAGGGCTTTCTTGTGCTTCCTTCTATAAAATAAAACATAGGCTCGAAATTAATGCTGGGCCTCATTTTATCTAACAATAAATTAGTATTCAGCCACATGTATGGACCAATTGAAAACAAAAGCCTGGACTATCAAGAGATGAATTTCATACAAAATGTTACTTTTATGCTTAAAAATCACCTATCACAATTTGTAATACATCTATGTTTTTCATGCAAGGTAGGTCCCTTTGTGGTCTCTACCTGCCAGGGTTCAGGACAAATTCCACAGTCCCGCAGGAGAAGGAGGCTCCCCATCCCACAGAAGCGCGTCTTAGCCTCTCAGCCTGCGCTGGGGGTTCTGCTGCTGGCAGCACCCTGGCCCCCGGGGGTCAGTAGTGCTGGTGCCAGTTCCTTCTGGGAGTTGTCTGAGAAAGATGCCCAGAATTGAGGACCCTGGACGCATAGGAATACTTAAACCCCACCCTACTCTAGTCAGATGGAGGCAATCACCAGTTCTGGGGGAAGCTGATCACAAAAAAACTGGATTGAATTGTAGCCCCTCTGAGACGGAGAAGGATCAAGCCCTGGGTTCTAGAGTCATCATGGTTCAGATTTACTTGTGGACAAGCCTGCTGGTTAACAACAGGTGTTCTGAAAGTTATGCATTAGTAATACTTCTAATGACAAAATTTATCCAGGATGGAGCTTTCCATCTTTCCTTCCTTCCTTCCTTCCTTCCTTCCTTCCTCCCTCCCTCCCTCCCTCCCTTTTCTTTTCTCTTTTCCCTTCCTTCCTTCCTCCCTTCCTTTCTCCCTTCCTTTCTTTTCTTTTCTCTTTTCTTTCTTTTTCCTTCTATACTTTTCACTCTCTTACATAAGATAGGTAGATGGACACCATTTCAAAGTGGTGTCTATGTATAAATACACATTTTAAATATATTTAAATTCTTGGACACATGGTTATGGGAAATTTTTTAATGTTTAAATTAATTTACATATCATATAATAATCAATAATAATTTTCAGAATAAAAAGTTACATTAGGAAAACATTCTGAGAGGAGAGTGAAATGAAAATACAGTTTCAAGGGGGATAAAAGAACAACATAAAAATCTGGCAATTAAAGAAAAGCAAATTCATGTATTTTTAAAATGACTGATGGTGAGAATCAGATCCCTAATGGTACTAAGAACTGGCTGGATACAATTAACAGAGTGAAAAAAATAATTTTATTTTTAAATGTCAATATTTGTATTTCACTAGAAATTACATTGCTTGCAACTATGATAAACATGCATTTTAGATGCCAGAATAAAGATCTCTAAGAGACTACCATTTTTCAGAATTCTTTTGGGATAAATGTGAATGAGTTATTTTGAAGGTCAGTCCTCTAGAGAAGAGAACGTGTGTGGGAATGAAGGAGATCATAGTGTGGGTGAAGAGACAGCAGGAGCCGAGCTGGGGAAGCTGTGGCCAGGGTGCAGAAGGGAGGCAAGGAGACAGGAGAGGACAGGAGAGAGAGCTGGGCATTTATTAAGTGGACCTCCCTGTGAATCACAATCTACCAGCCGCAGCTGGACACGTGCTCACCAGGAGGTTCAGTGGCAGGTGGGGATCTATCAGATTGGTCCTTGTTAGGGAAAAATCAAAGCATTTTCCTCCGCTCTCACCCCACTGCCGCCGCAGTCAACACAGAAAATGCTGTGGCCAAATGTGTGGGGGATTTCCCCACCAATAGGCAACAATCAATTCTGTAGTAAATGCCAGCTGGGTGTCCTAGGATTCAGTCCTGACACTGTTCACCTGGAGATGGCATCCGATCCCTTGGGCTGGGGGCTCAGGCCCGCAAGACTGTCTCCTCCCTCCCCCAGACACCATTTGCAAGTCTCGGCCTCCAGAATTTCTGACCAACCAGCTTCAAGCTGGAGTTTCCTCAACTCCCTCTTTAGTTTGGTTAATTTGCTAGAGTAGCTCACAGCACTAAGGGAAACACTTAAGTTTACTGGTTTATTATCAAGGATATTACACAAAATACAGATGAAGAGATGGATAGGGCAAGATATGGGGGAAAGGGTGTGGAGCTTCCCCGCCCTCTCCAGGTGATCCACCCTCCAGGAACCTACACATGCTGAGCTATTCCGAGCTCCCTGAGCCCTGTCCTTTTGTGGGTTTATGAAGGCTTCATTACATAGTCATGATTGATTAAACCATTGTGCATTGGCCATCAACTTAACCCTCAGCCCCTCTCCCCTCCCTGGGTTCAGGGGTAGGGCTGAAAGTTCCAACACTCTAGTCATGCTTTGGTCTTTCTAGTGACCAGCTCCTTTCTGAAGCTACCTCTGCCATCTGTTGATTTATTTGCATAAAAAAGGATATCATTTTGGAGATTCTAAGGATTTTAGGAGCCCTATGCCAGGAAATGGGCTGAAGACCAATTATATATTTCACTATATCATAGTTTTAATCTATGCATGCCTACTCTATCACATTAGAAAGCCAACAAGACTCACTATAAAGCTACACATATTTTATGAACACAAATAAGTTGTTTAATACAGATCTGATGAACTTTGATTTTACTTACACACATGAGATTGACAGATCATAGACCATGCACTTGATTAAAGATATTATCTGTAAAATTCCCAAATAAAACTCATTGAAAGTTGGAATCAGCAAACATTTCCCCTAAATATAAGTTTTCATGCTGCTGCTTTGTGATTCTATTCACATGCACATTTATGGATTCTTAGAACTGAGCATGACCTTAGAAACAGCATTTTGGGGATAGTTGAGATAGAAATATGCTACCCTACAAACTTCTTATTAATGAAGTTATAAAAAACAATATATTAACTCATTACTAGTCAAGTTGTCAGAATCTGCTGAGCATTAAAATGTGAGAATATTGATTAGCGACTATTTACTGTCAAATGGCAAACAGCATGCCTTTTCTCTTTGAGATATTTTAAATCTATCTTAATATTTAGATATTTCAAAAATCGAAAACTTACAAGTTATAGTCTAATTTGCCACTATGATTTTAATAATTGCAAATACTAAATTGTAGTTTTCAATAATCTCTGTACTTTTAGAAAGATATAAAAAGTAAATACAGCAATTCAAGAAGAGTAAGCCTCAAAATGGATACAGACAGGAACTATTCTGTTATAAGTCCTCCAATCTCAGACAAGCACAAAAAGCCTGAGCAGATCACCCATATCAGCTGGTTATCATTTAGGGCTCTGCAGCATTCCCCTGGGGGGTGCACTGTTTGGCAATTGGTCAGCCTGCTCACTGCACTGCACGTGACTTTCTCAGCAGCAGGCACTGGGAATGGGGCATGCATTCTTCACATCAGTGGAGCAAACAGGGAGCTGACTATAGCTGCAGAAGCTCAAGATGCTTTCACCTTTCCTGTTCTTTTCTCTCTCCCCTGTCTCCGTGCTCGTCTTATTGCACACGGACTTGTCTGCTTGTGTGATATTCCCCACTCCTTTACATGTGTGTGATTAATTAAAGCTTAACGACTGTCTTAAAGGGTCCTTTTTTCTTTTTAACCATCCCTTCACTCTTTTTGCACGCCAATGTACTAAATTGCTCACTTGTTCCCCAATAATGTCAACTTCTTTGGTCTTTTCGTGTTACGGTAAACACTGTTTCTCTTGCCTGAAACCCTGCTTCCTCTGCCCCCAGCCCTTCTCTTGTGTTTCTCTGGTAAACCTTTAGTTACCATTTGGCATCAATTCAGTTTTCAACATCTCTGTTGCAAATCTCTCGCTTTCCCCTAAAGTTGCTCTCTCCTTTGTGTTTCCATAGCACTTGGATTTCTAGATCTGCTCTGATTGTGTATTTTATATACACAGACCTCACATGTGCATTCTTTTCCCCAAATCACTGAAATTCAGAAGGCAAAGACAATTTTGTATGAAGTATCTGCATTTCTGTCATCTAGGCCAGTGCCTGGCATATAGTGTATATTCAGATCACTCAGTAAGTGATTATTATCCAATTGATTTCACATGAAATAAGCCTTAAATTATACTAAGGCAACAGAACTACCATCCATGAATCCTAAGTAAAATCACAAAGAATGGAAATAAGGTGTTTCAAAAGTTCCCTCTTCTTCATAAAAATGGGCTTAAGGAAGTCTTTGAAAGAATAAAGGTAGCTACCTTAATTTCAAAACTGGAAAGAATTCTATGTAGTTTGATAAAGCTTTACTTGATATCTTGTCACAGGGCAAAGTGCTTATTCTAAGCCCATAGTAGATTTCTGGATCCGATTTCATCTGTTCATCTAGAAGGAGTGTGCAAGACCTCGTGTGATATTTTGAACATGAGTCTATTGTCTGTGCCCACCATGGTGCACTGATCAGAGGCTGTGTTTTCCTGGCCAGCTAGTCAGATAGATGTTCTCTTTTCCTTTCCTGACTGCTGCTCCTAAAGCTGAAGGACACATTTCGGTAAAAGGTAAAGAAGTCATTGTGTTTCCTTGCTGGTGCTATTTTGAAGAAGGTGAAGTTTGTCTGTTGCTCACAGAGAAAGTTGAGATTTGAATGCTTGCCAAATCCAGAGGCCCCTCTTGGGCTCCATCCCTTGGAGCTGTGCCTCCTGCGTTCTGTCCTCTCCTGGGCCGCAGCCTCCAGCTCGGTGATAACTCTGCCGCTGCACCCTCTAGAGCTTCCCTTTCCCGACACTGTAGCTCCCGCTGTCCTCACTCCTGCCGGGGTCACTAAGGAGCAACTTGGGGGCTTCTTGGCTCTGGTCTGCCCCCTCCAATTTCTCTTCCCTATTCCTGATGGAATGATCTTTCTGAAAGGCAAATCTGCTCAGGCCTCTTCCTCCTTAAAACCTTTCAGGGCTTCTCACTAGCCTTTGATATAAAGTCCAGATCACTCAACATGTATATAAAATACTTGATGGTCAGGTTTCTTTCCACTTCTATCCTCCTCCTGAGCCCTGCCCCTAGTAGCTCCTTGTTCAGGTTATTCAGAACTACTGTGAATCTTGCAATGCATGCTGCTGTTGGCCCCTTTGTGCCTTCAAACATGCTCTATCTTCCCTAAGTGAATGCAGGACACATGTGTTCACCTCGGGTGATGCTTCCTTCCTGCCCTTTTTACCTTGGGGACCACGTCCATTCGTATACCTCCAACTGTAACTGTTCCCATACCTGTATCTCAGCTTACACCTTTATACTGAGGCCCCTTATCCATTCAACAATACACACATACTAGATGTTATTGCTGAGCAAAAATAAACAGAAGGCACTGTCCTCATAGCAAAGTATCGAGTATTACAAACTATAGTAACATAAAAATCCCAAAAAAGGGGAAACTGAAGTTACAATAAACACTAAAAGATGAGAAATGTGGGCCTGCAAGAGGTCACATGCAAGGAATATGACTTCAACAGAGTGTCAAGGAAGGATCCTTGAATAAAGTTCTCTCAAGCTGTGGCCTTAAAGCTGTGTGTAAATGACTTTGATGAAGAGGGTGTGAAGGACCAGTCTAGGAAGAAGGAAGTGTGTTGAAAGTATGGCTGAAGTGGGAGGATATAGCTGGCTAGTGTGGACCCGTAAGGTGGTCAGTGTGTGAAGCTCTGGAGTCAGTGTGGGGAGCATCACAGTGTGGGGAGCACAGTGGACAGTGTGGGGAGCACAGTGGGCAGTGTGGGGAGCATGGCAGTCAGCATGAGGAGCACGGCAGTCAGCGTGAGGAGCACGGCAGTGTGGGGGGCATCACAGTGTGGGGAGCACAGTGGGCAGTGTGGGGAGCATGGCAGTCAGCATGAGGAGCACGGCAGTCAGTGTGGGGAGCACAGCAATGTGGGGAGCACAGTGGACAGTGTGGGGAGCACAGTGGTCAGTGTGGAGAGCAGCGGTCAGCATGGGGAGCATCACAGTGTGGGGAGCACAGTGGACAGTGTGCGGAGCACAGACAACAGTGGGGAGCATAATGTGAACTGAAGCACTACAGGAATTGCCAAGATTATTTCACACCACCCAAAAGGCTACAAAAAGCCAAAAGTGGATGAAAGGGGTAGGGATAAATATGGTGGTGCCTTCTGTCCTAAATTACTCTGGCAATATGATAAAACAGCCACTGGAGGGTGGCACGGGTGATCTAAAAAGGCAGGATACGATGTGGGGATGGGTGATTATTAGAGTCTCCTACTAAAGATGAATATAAAGTGTCAGAGCTAAGAGAGATGGGAGAGACCAAATTCATTTGGCCTGGTGATGGTTTGGCTATGGAGGTAAGAGAGACAGAATGTTGTCAAGGAAGATTCTGAGTTTCTGGCTTACTCAGAAGAATTACTTGTAATATGGTATAGCTTTAAGATAGAATGGTAGGTGCATAGGTGCACTAAAGATTTTTACAAAGTGTGGGGGCTATGAGAATGCACTTCCCGTATCTCTGACTGCAGGGAATGTAACTGACCCTGGACCAAGCTCTGCACTGTAAAATCTACCGTGTTCCTGTGAAGTTGTGCTCCCTGGGGCTGCTCCCAGCGGTGACTGAGTCTGGCAGGGCTAGGAAAGCAGGCCCCCTCCTGGAGATGCAGGATCCTCTGACAGGCCACTGTGGCTCTAAGGGCCCCTGACAGCCCTGCCCAGCTCCCCTTAGAGACGCAGTGCAGGCCACAGTGTTTCCGTCCAGCTTCCTTCCTTCCCTCCCCTTCGCTGGGGTCAGACCCGCACCTAGGTCTGCCGGCTCCCCCACCCTGTCACTGGCTCCCTTCCTCCTCTCCGCCTTACCCTCCTACTTTTCCTGCATGTTTAATCTTGTCTTGGCATTTGCTACCCTGAGAACACTAATGTTAAACACAGCAACTCTCTAATGATGCTGGGAAATGATCATAAGGTGATATTTAGTAAAACACAGGATACAAAACATTAGGTAGTGTATGATAACATACAAATGAAAATTCAGAGATTGAATGATGCAAACTGGCAATTAATTTTAACAGCTGGAGGTAAATTAAAACATTTCTATGAAACTGTAAACATGTGATTCAAGAAAATACTTTTAATGAAGCTAAGCAGATCATATAGGCTAAAGTCCTAAGCTTCTGAGCAGGAGAACTGGCATGACGTCTGCAGTGATGTGGTGTTAGAAATATTAAAGGTGACAGCAAGCAACATTTTCTTGAGACAATGAAGAAAAGTCAAAGTTTAGCTAAATGGACATTGATCACAGGAGGTTCTAATGACCAATATATACAAGAAATGTCTAAAACTGTGTATACTTGAAATTTTTTAGCAAATATTTTATCTGTCCAGTAAACACGAGTTTTAATTATATATACAACAAACTTTACCAAAAGGTATGAAAATCCTTCCCACCAAAAAAAAAAAAGAAAAAAAAATTGATGATACTTGTTGCCACACTGCAATGAATTTTGCAAGCCTGGGGGATTCTTGCTCACGGTTTGGACATGTGAGTATGTTTTATTTAGGTTTAATTTTGGAACGTACCGTTGCATATACAATGGGGTCAGTGGGGTTTTGTTTGTTTGTTTTTTAACCTAGTATTTTGTCTGAAGTATTTTTACTGCATTGCTAGTCTGCAAAATTATATCTCATCAAGTGAATTTATTATTATTTAATTAACTATTACCTATTGTGGCTATTTGGGCTGCTTTCGACATTTCATTATAAAAATGAAACTTTTCACATAGTTTACCTTTATTTACATCATTTCCTCTAGAACCTAAGATACGAGATTATTTGACAAAAAGCACATCAGCTTTATGACTCTCTAATACTAGGCAGACTCACATTGGATTAATAAACAAAACTACTTACACAAGGATGAGGTAAAACAGTACCCTAAAAAATAATAATAAAAGCATAGTGGACTTCTGCTTCTAGCCATGATGGAGTAACTGGTACAGAACTAGCCTTCATGTTATATAAATAACTATAATACTGGAGAAAATATAAGAAATAACCATTTTAAGATGTTTAACAGCAGACAATGAAGGATTGTGATCAATAAGAAATGAAAACCACTAATTTGTAATGGTGACAGCTTATAAAAATATTACATTCAACAAAAGGGAATGCTTATGTAATTGAAGATTCACCCAGGTCACTGAATGTTATGTAGCCTCAAAAATGATGTTAAGGGAGGAGCCAAGATGGCGCAATAGGAACAGCTCCGGTCTACAGCTCCCAGCGTGAGCGACGCAGAAGACGGGTGATTTCTGCATTTCCATCGGAGGTACCGGGTTCATCTCACTAGGGAGTGCCAGAAAGTGGGCACAGGTCAGTGGGTGCGCGCACCATGCGCGAGCCGAAGCAGGGCGAGGCATTGCCTCACTTGGGAAGCGCAAGGGGTCAGGGAGTTCCCCTTCGGAGTCAGAGAGGGGTGACGGACTCACCTGGAAAATGGGGTCACTCCCACCCGAATATTGCGCTTTTCGGACCGGCTTAAAAAACGGCGCACCATGAGATTATATCCCGCACCTGGCTCGGAGGGTCCTACGCCCACGGAGTCTCGCTGGTTGCTAGCACAGCAGTCTGAGATCAAACTGCAAGGCGGCAGCGAGGCTGGGGGAGGGGCGCCCGCCATTGCCCAGGCTTGCTTAGGTAAACAAAGCAGCCAGGAAGCTCGAACTGGGTGGAGCCCACCACAGCTCAAGGAGGCCTGCCTGCCTCTGTAGGCTCCACCTCTGGGGGCAGGGCACAGACAAACAAAAAGACAGCAGTAACCTCTGCAGACTTAAATGTCCCTGTCTGACAGCTTTGAAGAGAGCAGTGGTTCTCCCAGCACGCAGCTGGAGATCTGAGAACGGGCAGACTGCCTCCTCAAGTGGGTCCCTGACCCCTGACCCCCGAGCAGCCTAACTGGGAGGCACCCCCCAGCAGGGGCACACTGACACCTCACACGGCAGGGTATTCCAACAGACCTGCAGCTGAGGGTCCTGTCTGTTAGAAGGAAAACTAACAAACAGAAAGGACATCCACACCAAAAACCCATCTGTACATCACCATCATCAAAGACCAAAAGTAGATAAAACCACAAAGATGGGGAAAAAACAGAACAGAAAAACGGGAAACTCTAAAACGCAGAGCACCTCTCCTCCTCCAAAGGAACGCAGTTCCTCACCAGCAACGGAACAAAGCTGGATGGAGAATGACTTTGACGAGCTGAGAGAAGAAGGCTTCAGACGATCAAATTACTCTGAGCTACGGGAGGACATTCAAACCAAAGGCAAAGAAGTTGAAAACTTTGAAAAAAATTTAGAAGAATGTATAACTAGAATAACCAATACAGAGAAGTGCTTAAAGGAGCTGATGGAGCTGAAAACCAAGGCTCGAGAACTACGTGAAGAATGCAGAAGCCTCAGGAGCCAATGCGATCAACTAGAAGAAAGGGTATCAGCAATGGAAGATGAAATGAATGAAATGAAGCGAGAAGGGAAGTTTAGAGAAAAAAGAATAAAAAGAAATGAGCAAAGCCTCCAAGAAATATGGGACTATGTGAAAAGACCAAATCTACGTCTGATTGGTGTACCTGAAAGTGATGGGGAGAATGGAACCAAGTTGGAAAACACTCTGCAGGATATTATCCAGGAGAACTTCCCCAATCTAGCAAGGCAGGCCAACGTTCAGATTCAGGAAATACAGAGAACGCCACAAAGATACTCCTCGAGAAGAGCCAACTCCAAGACACATAATTGTCAGATTCACCAAAGTTGAAATGAAGGAAAAAATGTTAAGGGCAGCCAGAGAGAAAGGTCGGGTTACCCTCAAAGGGAAGCCCATCAGACTAACAGCGGATCTCTCGGCAGAAACCCTACAAGCCAGAAGAGAGTGGGGGCCAATATTCAACATTCTTAAAGAAAAGAATTTTCAACCCAGAATTTCATATCCAGCCAAACTAAGCTTCATAAGTGAAGGAGAAATAAAATACTTTACAGACAAGCAAATGCTGAGAGATTTTGTCACCACCAGGACTGCCCTAAAAGAGCTCCTGAAGGAAGCACTAAACATGGAAAGGAACAACTGGTACCAGCCGCTGCAAAATCATGCCAAAATGTAAAGACCATCGAGACTAGGAAGAAACTGCATCAACTAACGAGCAAAATCACCAGCTAACATCATAATGACAGGATCAAATTCACACATAACAATATTAACTTTAAATGTAAATGGACTAAATGCTCCAATTAAAAGACACAGACTGGCAAATTGGATAAAGAGTCAAGACCCATCAGTGTGCTGTATTCAGGAAACCCATCTCATGTCCAGAGACACACACAGGCTCAAAATAAAAGGATGGAGGAAGATCTACCAAGCAAATGGAAAACAAAAAAAGGCAGGGGCTGCAATCCTAGTCTCTGATAAAACAGACTTTAAACCAACAAAGATCAAAAGAGACAAAGAAGGCCATTACATAATGGTAAAGGGATCAATTCAACAAGAAGAGCTAACTATCCTAAATATATATGCACCCAATACAGGAGCACCCAGATTCATAAAGCAAGTCCTGAGTGACCTACAAAGAGACTTAGACTCCCACACATTAATAATGGGAGACTTTAACACCCCACTGTCAACATTAGACAGATCAACGAGATAGAAAGTCAACAAGGATACCCAGGAATTGAACTCAGCTCTGCACCAAGCGGACCTAATAGACATCTACAGAACTCTCCACCCCAAATCAACAGAATATACATTTTTTTCAGCACCACACCACACCTATTCTAAAATTGACCACATACTTGGAAGTAAAGCTCTCCTCAGCAAATGTAAAAGAACAGAGATTATAACAAACTATCTCTCAGACCACAGTGCAATCAAACTAGAACTCAGAATTAAGAATCTCACTCAAAACCGCTCAACTACATGGAAACTGAACAACCTGCTCCTGAATGACTACTGGATACATAACGAAATGAAGGCAGAAATAAAGATGTTCTTTGAAACCAACGAGAACAAAGATACAACATACCAGAATCTCTGGGATGCATTCAAAGCAGTGTGTAGAGGGAAATTTATAGCACTAAATGCCCACAAGAGAAAGCAGGAAAGATCCAAAATTGACACCCTAACATCACAATTAAAAGAACTAGAAAAGCAAGAGCAAACACATTCAAAAGCTAGCAGAAGGCAAGAAATAACTAAAATCAGAGCAGAACTGAAGGAAATAGAGACACAAAAACCCTTTCAAAAAATTAATGAATCCAGGAGCTGGTTTTTTGAAAGGTTCAACAAAATTGATAGACTGCTAGCAAGACTAATAAAGAAAAAAAGAGAGAAAAATCTAATAGATGCAATAAAATATGATAAAGGGGATATCACCACCGATCCCACAGAAATACAAACTACCATCAGAGAATACTACAAACACCTCTATGCAAATAAACTAGATAATCTAGAAGAAATGGATAAATTCCTCGACACATACACTCTCCCAAGACTAAACCAGGAAGAAGTTGAATCTCTGAATAGACCAATAACAGGAGCTGAAATTGTGGCAATAATCAATAGTTTACCAACCAAAAAGAGTCCAGGACCAGATGGATTCACAGCCGAATTCTACCAGAGGTACAAGGAGGAACTGGTACCATTCCTTCTGAAACTATTCCAATCAACAGAAAAAGAGGGAATCCTCCCTAACTCATTTTATGAGGCTAGCATCATTCTGATACCAAAGCCGGGCAGAGACACAACCAAAAAAGAGAATTTTAGACCAATATCCTTGATGAACATTGATGCAAAAATCCTCAATAAAATACTGGCAAAACGAATCCAGCAGCACATCAAAAAGCTTATCCACCATGATCAAGTGGGCTTCATCCCTGGGATGCAAGGCTGGTTCAATATACGCAAATCAATAAATGTAATCCAGCATATAAACAGAGCCAAAGACAAAAACCACATGATTATCTCAATAGATGCAGAAAAGGCCTTTGACAAAATTCAACAACCCTTCATGCTAAAAACTCTCAATAAATTAGGTATTGATGGGACGTATTTCAAAATAATAAGAGCTATCTATGACAAACCCACAGCCAATATCATACTAAATGGGCAAAAACTGGAAGCATTCCCTTTGAAAACTGG
Organism: Homo sapiens; assembly: GCF_000001405.40. NCBI lineage: Eukaryota > Metazoa > Chordata > Mammalia > Primates > Hominidae > Homo > Homo sapiens. The sequence continues at coordinate 162,840,670 of NC_000006.12, read as the reverse complement.
CACAAGACAGGGATGCCCTCTCTCACCACTCCTATTCAACATAGTGTTGGAAGTTCTGGCCAGGGCAATTAGGCAGGAGAAGGAAATAAAGGGTATTCAATTAGGAAAAGAGGAAGTCAAATTGTCCCTGTTTGCAGACGACATGATTGTATATCTAGAAAACCCCATTGTCTCAGCCCAAAATCTCCTTAAGCTGATAAGCAACTTCAGCAAAGTCTCAGGATACAAAATCAATGTACAAAAATCACAAGCATTCTTATACACCAACAACAGACAAACAGAGAGCCAAATCATGAGTGAACTCCCATTCACAATTGCTTCAAAGAGAATAAAATACCTAGGAATCCAACTTACAAGGGATGTGAAGGACCTCTTCAAGGAGAACTACAAACCACTGCTCAAGGAAATAAAAGAGGATACAAACAAATGGAAGAACATTCCATGCTCATAGGTAGGAAGAATCAATATCATGAAAATGGCCATACTGCCCAAGGTAATTTACAGATTCAATGCCATCCCCATCAAGCTACCAATGACTTTCTTCACAGAATTGGAAAAAACTACTTTAAAGTTCATATGGAACCAAAAAAGAGCCTGCATCGCCAAGTCAATCCTAAGCCAAAAGAACAAAGCTGGAGGCATCACACTACCTGACTTCAAACTATACTACAAGGCTACAGTAACCAAAACAGCATGGTACTGGTACCAAAACAGAGATATAGATCAATGGAACAGAACAGAGCCCTCAGAAATAACGCCGCATATCTACAACTATCTGATCTTTGACAAACCTGAGAAAAACAAGCAATGGGGAAAGGATTCCCTATTTAATAAATGGTGCTGGGAAAGCTGGCTAGCCATATGTAGAAAGCTGAAACTGGATCCCTTCCTTATACCTTATACAAAAATCAATTCAAGATGGATTAAAGACTTAAATGCTAGACCTCAAACCATAAAAACCCTAGAAGAAAACCTAGGCAATACCATTCAGGACATAGGCATGGGCAAGGACTTCATGTCTAAAACACCAAAAGCAATGGCAACAAAAGACAAAATTGACAAATGGGATCTAATTCAACTCAAGAGCTTCTGCACAGCAAAAGAAACTACCATCAGAGTGAACAAGCAACCTACAAAATGGGAGAAAATTTTCGCAACCTACTCATCTGACAAAGGGCTAATATCCAGAATCTACAATGAACTCAAACAAATTTACAAGAAAAAAACAAACAACCCCATCAAAAAGTGGGCAAAGGACATGAACAGACACTTCTCAAAAGAAGACATTTATGCAGCCAAAAAACACATGAAAAAATGCTCATCATCACTGGCCATCAGAGAAATGCAAATCAAAACCACAATGAGATACCATCTCACACCAGTTAGAATGGCAATCATTAAAAAGTCAGGAAACAACAGGTGCTGGAGAGGATGTGGAGAAATAGGAACACTTTTACACTGTTGGTGGGATTGTAAACTAGTTCAACCATTGTGGAAGTCAGTGTGGCGATTCCTCAGGGATCTAGAACTAGAAATACCATTTGACCCAGCCATCGCATTACTGGGTATATACCCAAAGGACTATAAATCATGCTGCTATAAAGACACATGCACACGTATGTTTATTGCAGCATTATTCACAATAGCAAAGACTTGGAACCAACCCAAATGTCCAACAATGATAGACTGGATTAAGAAAATGTGGCACATATACACCATGGAATACTATGCAGCCATAAAAAATGATGAGTTCATGTCCTTTGTAGGGACATGGATGAAATTGCAAATCATCATTCTCAGTAAACTATCGCAAGAACAAAAAACCAAACACCACATATTCTCACTCATAGGTGGGAATTGAACAATGAGATCACATGGACACAGGAAGGGGAATATCACACTCTGGGGACTGTGGTGGGGTGGGGGGAGGGGGGAGGGATAGCATTGGGAGATATACGTAATGCTAGATGACCAGTTAGTGGGTGCAGCACACCAGCATGGCATATGTATACATATGTAACTAACCTGCACAATGTGCACATGTACCCTAAAACTTAAAGTATAATAATAAAAAAAAATGATGTTAATAAGGGGGTTCTAATAACTAGTGTGGGAAAGACTCACTGTTCAGACCATTTCCCTTTTCCTTTGAGGTACACAGCTGGACTGTATTTCCCAGCCTTCTTTGAAGTTATTCATGGCTATGTGATTGGCTGATTTCCGATCAACAAAAAGTAGATGAAAGTGAAGAATGGAACCTCTAGTCTGGGACCATAAACGTCCCTCATAATGATTAGCCTACATGTTCTCCTCCCACATGTATGGGAAAAGGATACAGGAGAGGATTCAGGAAAAGAATCAAAGTAACTTAGGTCCCTGAGTGACTGCCTGGAGCAGAGGCCTGTCCATGACCCACTGGACTGACAGATGAGTGACAGATGGCCTTACTATGTCAAGCCACGGAGATTCAGAGGATTATTTTCTACGGCAGTTGGCATAAACTCCTATACCTGAAAAAATACTTACGTTGAATATAAAATGATATGTAATAATAAGTCAACTAAGATAGGAAAGAATAATATGGAAGAAAATCTGCCAAAACATTAACACTGGTTCCTTCTGGTAGAAACTTTTTTTCCTCCTTGCCTACATTTTTCTATATTATCTAATTTTTCTAAAATAAATATGATGTATCATTTCAATAAGGAAATGCTCTTTATTTTCTCTACCTTGATTCTTTGTATTTATTTTCAAAATCACCTATAATTTATTTAAATATATGGCAACAGGAATGCTAACAATTTCTTGTTTCCTTCCAAGTCATTAATCCTGTTTCCAGATGCCTTTGATGACTGTTTACCTTTCCTTGCTGTTGTGTGAGGCCCCTCTAGTTTTTAAAACATGTGCTGAGGTGTATGACTGGTCGGTGTGTATGTACTCCTTCAGAGATAATTTAAGGTTGTCTCAGTTCTATTTCCTTTCTAAAATTTGTTGAAACTTAATTGAGATAAGTCTACCTTTTATTAACTTATTGGAAAATGTCATTTGATTTCCTTGCTTGTTAATTTTTCCAGATAAGTTGTGAGGATTATTCTGTCAAATCCAACTAAAAATTATGAGATTTTTATTTTGCTCTTGCTTAAAAGAAATAGATTACTTGCATCTCATCCTCTGCTGCTAACATTGTGAATTCACCCTTTATGTCTCCCTCCTCTTGATCACTAGTATTCTATTATTTGCCAATTCTATCTCCTCTTCCACCATCTTTCCACTCCAACTCCTTATCATTTAATGTGTGGACTGTTGAAACAGCTGCTAGAGTCCAATTCAACATGCATGCTGGTGACAACCCAAATACTCTTTATCAGCACCGCGTGTTACATATATACTCGGTGTTCTTTAATAAAATACTTGATTCACAATAGTTAGTGCCTGAAACATAGACTTTAATAACACTAATTTCCTTCTTTATCATCTCCCCCACTATCTACGCAGGACAATGCGCTACCTCAGATTGTCATTCAGGGCCCCTCACAATCCAGCTTCCGCCTTTCCACTTAATCTTATCCCACATTATTCCCTACTTATTACATCCAATTATTTACATTTCCATCTCTGAATCAGGTCAACCATTGTTAAAAAAAAATACTTAAATTTTCTGTAAAGAAGCATATGAGTCTTCTCTAACATTCAGCTGCAAGAGTTTTAGTGCTATAATAGAAAGAAAGGACTGGATATAGCAGACCTAGGTTCTAGCTCCATTAGGGCTACTCACTAGCTTTGTAACATTGTGAAAAATCCCCAAACTAATATCTGAATATTAGTTTTATACTTGAAGACAGAAAAATGGTTTAGAATTTATCTGGTTTTCTTCCTAATATTCATGATAATCTTTGAATAAAATTTTACAGCACAAGTTGTAAGAATATGCTAAGAAAACACTCTTTTAAATCAAATGAAAAATACAAAAAACAAGAAGGGATGTGACTAAAAGAGCAAGATTGAAGGTATAAAAAATAATCAAATCGAGGGAAATGAAGCAGAGAGAAGCAAAAGATAATGGAACTTCTTTCTAAATGACATAGGGCTCTTCCCTCCACCTCCACTCTTTGGTACTTTTGAGTAGCAGAAAGGACGGTATGATGTAAAAGTGGTGGAAACCTGAAAGCTGAATCCCTCAGCTTGAGCGATCATGGAAGGCAGAAGAGGAAAGAAAGGGAAGTGTTCAGATAGGTGTTCCTACCTCACCCCTCTGGGCCAACGCGCCAAGCAACAGTTATGGATATTGAGGAGAATGCGAAGAGGAGGAGGCTTCTGCTTCCCTGAAGTCACAGCCCTCTGACTACCCCTGTACCAAGCTAGACCCAGGATGTGAAAACATAACCCAATTGCGAAAAAGAAAGGGGAGAAAGCCTAAGTTATAAAGATTTATAAATTGAGGGAAATAATGAAAATTCGAAGGAATAAAGAAGAGAAAAAGTGATTATCTCTTTTTCCCATTCAAAATGCTGCACAATGAATGTATGAAGTATTACCAAAAATAAGTAAAAAATATATAAAAATCATGTTAAAGTCAAATATAACCTTAAAGCCATGCAAAAATATGTCAGAATTCAAGATTTAGGACAGGAAAGTATTTAATAACAATAAAGCAAAAGAAGACAGAACAGGATGTGGGACGGAAAACTGACCAAAACAAAGGAAAAGAGAGGAAGAAAAAAGTAGGGTATTTTTAACCACTTTTTTCCTACTGGAAAGAACAATTTTACTTATGAATTTCACACAAATCGTATGATTCTTTTCATTACAATTTGTAACAGAAGACCTTAAAAGAGTTGAAAAGTTGGAGTGAGTTATTACTTTTTGTTGAAATGTGTCCAATGGTAGATTGTAAGACCTAAGCTAATTTTCATTTCCTCAACAAGTTCATATAGATGACGGCAGGTAATTAAAAAGCACATGCTACTTGTGTAATATATAACACCACACAACAAAAAAAACCACAGATTTTCTCTGCTTAGGATAGAATTTCACAAACCCTTCGGTTTTTCATTGTCGAGATGCATGATCAAACCTATATTTTAAGATGTATAATTAAATACATATTTATAAAATGCATTTATGGCTAAAAAATTGTTTGCAGATATTTTAACATGATATCCAATTTACTGTTTGTGATTTATCTTCTTATACTTGAAGGTGTGCATCACAGAATGATTTCCTAGCATGTTCCAATGACTCAAGACAGTGCTTCCCTCACTATTAATTACAAATAGCAATAAAAAGAGTAGGGAGAAGGACCAGATCATATTATATCTTCTTTTTAGAAATGGAATTTGCTTTATAAATAATTCTCAAAGGATGACAAATGGCAAACAGAATAAAATTTAATGTAAAGATTCTCCTTTGTAATACTTCATGTATACTTTGCATATTAAATCAGATAGCAATGACTGATGAAACAATGTTTTACTGAAGAAGCCATTTCTAAAGCATATTCATCATCAGAAAAGAAAGACTAAGATAATGAAAAAATAATATAGTTTAGCTTGTATAATTTATTCCAAGCTTCAAACAATGGAAGGAAATGGGAAAATGAAAAAGAGTAACCAAATGAGCATTGAGTTAAGTCCTTGAAACAGGGCTCAATGAGGCCAAGTAGAATAATAAAAATGTAAGTAAGCATATTCGTTTAAGTTACTCTTATAGTTTATTTTAACTTAATATGCCAAAATAAAGGGGATTTAATAGTTTACGTAAATCAGGAAAACCCCTTTGGTTTCAAATTTTATTATCAAGTTTTACATTAGAACCAAATTTTGGTTTGGCATTAGGACATGATAAGCCCTGATTATGCTCTTTAACATGAAATTGCACCTTCTGGGTTTCATTACATCAAAGTAACATACAAATGATATTAGCAAAAATGCTTGGATGGAAATATAATAGAATCTACATTCAGATACAGGACAGTTGCTTTAAGGAGTATTTTTGGCAAAATGCTATAGAGAGAGGCCAGTGATCTTGAGGCATAACTAGATACCCTTTGCAATTATCAAATCTTTTAAAAAAATCAAACAATTCCAAGTTTTAATAAGGATGTCAGAATCAGGGTCTTTGCAGGTAAAAGTGAATTGAATACAAAAATACACACGTACATGTGCCCATTGGTTTAAGGGATATTAAACAGCATATTTGGGAAATGGCATGTAGCTAATTCAACTGGCCTAAAACAACTTATATCATTTTTAAAGGTTTTATAACCTTTTATGTATGCATTCATTATACAATGTATGCAATGTTATACAATGTATATAATGTTTTAGACAGGGTTTAAAAACACCTTTTTACCCTGATATTTTAATGTCTAATTAAATTATATGTATTTCATATGTTGTGATAATTTTTTAGTACAGGTACAGTTTTCTTACTTAACTCTCTGTGGCTGCTAAACATTCCAAGTAGAAAACATAACTGACTTAACTTTCTTCTCTTTTTTAACATTTGGAGGCCATATTGCCAATAATCTATACAAAAACAAATACACTTCACTGTGCACCTAACGTACATGAAAAATCTCTTATGAAATTCATTATGTCCATTTCAGAGAGACAGAAAGTAAAGCGGTGGTTAGCAGGGGATGTGGGGAGCAGGGAGTGAGGAGCTGTTTAATGGGCATAGAGTTTCAGTCTTGCAAGATGAAAAAACGTTTGGAAAATTGGTTGCACAACGTTAATGCACTTACCACTTACCACAACTTGAACTGTACAGTTACAAATGGTTATGATGTTAAACTTTACATCATGGGCCTTTACCACAATTTTAGGAAAGAAAAGAAATAAGATTGCATCAATACTTATAAAAATATCATCAGTAAAAGTAAAACTGTTATACTGAAAAAAGTCCTAAAAATTCAAATTAATTAACATATTGGTTTTTTTAAGTACATATTTTTTTAATTGCAGTCCCATTAAAAAGTGGGCAAAAGACATGAACAAACAATTCTCAAAAGAAGACACTTATGCAGCCAACAAACATATGAAAAAAGGTTCAACATCACTGATGATTACAGAAATGCAAATGAAAACCACAATGAAATACCATCTCATGCCAGTCAGAATGGCAATTACTAAAAAGTCAAGAAACAACATATTGTTTTTTCAAAATAATTAGCATATTGTTTTTTAAAAGATACAAACAATGCTCCAATTCCAGAAAAGTCTGCACAAACAAGTTATCAAGGCAAGGGGAATAAAAGAGCTCCAGAGGGGAATCAAAAGTGACAAAAAGTGTTGGTAATATCTTCTCTGAATGAGGCAGTTACTAGAAGAAAGACAACCAAATTAAACTGAAGTCATCTTAACAGCTAGAAGGAATATTGCCTAAATATGGAAGTATTCTCATTTTTCCAAGAGAGCTGAGATCAAGTTAGCAACATGGCTATGGTTAGGTAACAAAAGAAAGTTAATTCATCTTTTGACACTAGTAATAGGAAGGCTGTAATAATTTCTTTTGGAAATTATGACAAATTATTATTTTTCATAACTCACCTCATTATTAGTTGATAGGGGAAAAAGTTTAAAACCCTGCACTTATGCCTGAATCCACTGTGAAAGGTCTAGTAAAAGAAATTTAAGTAAAAATATCGAGATGGCATCACTCCTTTCAAATGTTGATTAAATCTTCATTTCATAAATTATATAAAAAAGATTTTTAAAAAACAAAGAGAAATTGCTTGAAAAGTTATTCAAATTGCAAATCATTGGTTTTGTTGAGTAGAAAGGAAGACATCAAACAAAATATAATAGTTTATTTGGAATCATCTTTATTTGGGCAAAAAAATGAAAAAAAAAAAAAGACTGCTTTTATGTGCAGAAGCTAGAGGTTCAGTTCCTAAGAGAAAAATATTTTAAATATTAAAACCATAGCTCACAATGCTCATTCTGTTTCTATTCACTTCCTCCCATTATGGGAAAAATTTATGCAGAAGCTTGTCCTTCACAGATGTTAATTATCAGAATAATGTGAGCTACATTGTTCCCACTCTCTTTTACACAGCAAATCCCAGCAGAAGCTAAAGAATATAATAGATGTGGTACAAGTTGTTTAGAATTTGTAAATGCCACTAACAAAAGCTAAACATCAAAACCATTTTAAACCAAATATAGCAAGAATTTTATTTAATATCACTCAATTATTAAAAATAAAATTTAGAAACAACCAGCCCACACAGATTGGAGCACTGATAAGGCATATTTAGATTTCATGAAAAATAATTGATTAAAAAATGTCTTTTCTTAAAAAAACAAACAACCCCATTAAGAAGTGGGCAAAAGACATGAACAGACATTTCTCAAAAGAAGACATTTATGTGGCCAAGAAACATGAAAAAAGCTCAACATCATCATCATCACGATCATTAGAGAAATGCAAATCAAAACCACAATGAGATATCATCTCACACAAGTCAGAATGACGAGTATTGAAAAGTCAAGAAGCAATAGATTCTGGAGAGGCTATGGAGAAATAGGAACGCTTTTACACTGTTTATGGGAATGTAATTTAGTTCAACCATTGTGGAAGACAGTGTGGTGATTCCTCAAAGACCTAGAGCCAGACATACATTTGACCCAGCAATCCCATTCCTGGGTATATACACAAAGGAATATAAATCATTCTATTATAAAGATACATGCATGTGTACATTCACTTCAGTGCTATTCATGATAGCAAAGACATGGAATCAACCCAAATGCCCATCAATGATAAACTTGATAAAGAAAATGTGGTACATATATACCAAGGAATACTATGCAGCCATAAAAAGGAGCAAGATTACGTCCTTTGCAGGAACATGGATGGAGCTGGAAGCCATTAACCTTGGAAAACTAACTCAGGAACAGAAAACCTAAACACCGTATATTCTCACTTACAAGTTGGAGCTGAACAATGAGAACACGTGGACACAGGGAGGGAAACAACACACACTGGGGCCTCTTGTGGGGTGGAGGTGCATGGGGAGGGAGAGCATCAGGATAAATAACTAATGCTTGCTGGGCTGAATTCCTAGGTGCTGGGTTGATAGGTGCCGCAAACCACCATGGCACACATTTACCTATGTAACAAATCTGCACATCCTGCCATGTATCCTGGAACTTACAAAAGGAAGTTTAATCAAAGAAACAAAATAAATGTATCAAGTTTCACTAATGCCAAGAAATAATATGGCATTCTTATGATTTCACCTTATTCAAGATCTCAAGCACTACCAGGGCAAGAATTTAGATGCTGTATGTACAGCATCTAATCAATGTCTGGCTTATCATAAATGCTCAATAAGTACTTGTCGAATGAAATATTTAATAAAACAATGAAAAGCAATAAATATAAATTGAACATCACTAAATTTTAATCACAAAGACCTATCTTAGAATGAATAAGTGGTGGTGTATGCGTTGGCTTTGAAGGCAGTTTCAAAACCCTTCAGCTCTGCTTGTCTCCCTCTTACCCTCTAAACCCTACCTGCCTGCCTCCGTGCTCCAAATACCATCATGAAAGTTGCACTCTTCTGGGTTTAAAGAATGAACGGTATGTTAGAAGAATAACAATAATCTATGGGATTCTCACAGAAGAGGTGGGTTTTAATAGCAGGCAGAATAGGACAAAATGAAGCAGATTAGAAATAGAAGATATTATTGGAACTAATGGCAGTAACAAAGATGCTCAACGCATGTTTCTTGAATAAATGAGTAAATTCATGACTAAATAAAGGAGAGCTGAGAACGTGTTTGTTGAAAGTAAGAAAAGTAAGAAGGTTCCAGCAGCAGCTAGAAGGGATGTCTCAGGATGTCTCAGTCCTCTCTCCCCAACTTCGTCTCCTTCAACTGAGCCCTCCACCAAAGCCGCCCAAATAACTAAATGCTTGATAAGTAAACATCGTTTTAATGTAAGACGTCTACCCCCCACCATGCCTGCACACTTTCAACTAGATCACCATCCTTTAATCCTTGCTGTCTAAAATCATTTGGAGCTATTACTGGATGGTAGCGAGAGCCACAGACAAAATGTCTTTCTTATCCCAGTGTTTTGCCTGGGACAGGCATGGTATTGAGCTCTGGAGAAACATCACTGTGTCCCTGGGGAGAGGGGGATGAGAATGGGTGCCAAGGATGGCTGTTTGATATATCGGAGCACAGCCCTGAAGAGGGGAAGTTGGCCAAGAGTTGGAGAAACTCATTCCTGATGAAGGCCAGCGGGAGACCTGGGAGTTTTGTTTTCTTGGAAAATCAAGGAAGCCAGTATGGCTGGAGCCATGTGGGTGAGTGGGTAGGGGCAGGTCAGGGTCACAGGAAGTGAGAGGCATGACAAAATTAAGGGCTTCTAACCTGCCAGTGACTCCACCTGATTCCAGTCTGGCTGCCTGACACAGTTCAACCATTGTCCCCAGGGCCCCAAGAAGCACAAGATCTTAATCCCCGATTCCCCAAACTGCTCAAGTTAGTACACTTGAGGTTGGTAAATACATCGGTGTTGCTATAAAGTGAGGAATGGGGCAAGAGGGTGAGAGAAGAGAAAAAAATACCCAAACAATATTAAATCCCTCAGCTCTGAACCATGACAGCATTCTGAGAGTGGACCACGCCCTTCCTCCTGTTTACTGCAGCCTCAGAGACACTAGCCCTTCTTGCTGTTAACTTTCTATACCACATTGGTTTTGTGTTAGGGTCCCATTTGAATAAATAATAATGAGAAGGCATTGCAAGATAATCTAAAGTCCAAAGTAGGGATTGAGTGATGACAGGGTCAGGACAGCGATCCCCAAATATGCCACATCTTTAAAAATGGAAGAAGCAGGAAGTTCTCTCACACATTCTCCCACCTTGTTTTCCTAAAGCCGGTCATAAGACCCTCATATGTGAGGGGTGCCCTTCCTATACCCGGAGAAAAAGAACATCCTTATCTCTGAAGAGAAAAGGCAACATATGTTGCTGAACGTTCCAATGGCTATGTCATTGCTAGGTAATATGAATTTTTCAGATCTGTTATAATCTTACGGTCCCACCATCGAATATGCAGTTCATCGTTCACCAAAACCACATTATGCAGCTCATGACTGTACTTATGACTAATTGTATACACTGCACAAAGGCCTATATCACCAGTGATTTTCACTGCACTTAATAAATTGCAACCTTCTGAAATGTGTGATGGATGAAAGAATGCTCAGAACAAACAAATGAATAGTGCACGTCTTTAATACTCAGTTTCATCTCTTTTCATTTAATTCCATTAATTTCTCAGATACATCCTGTTATACAACTGCCATAGCAGAAACTTTTATATATTTGTATCCCAAAAAAGTTCATGAGCTGTGACTCCATCTGAATGTGTCTTCCCTGCAGGCCAGGCCTTGCCTGCATTTGGGGCTTGCTTTCGTGTGCCCTCTCTAAAGACAATCTAGATATGACACTTTATCTGCTCACATGTGTCTCATCATTTCCTGTTTGTTTTTCTAAATCTGCTCACTAGTAACGATTTTACTTTCAAAAGAAGAGAGAAAGGGGACACAAAAAATGGATTTGCTTGGCTATTTAGGTTTTTCTTATTTTTGAAATGTGAAAAGTACTTTTCACAAAGGAAATATATATTTGCATAAACTCACAAAATATTTATGTTGAAATGTACAAAACACAGTCATTCATGATTCCTCAATTAGGGTTTTAGTGGAATAAAAATTTAATTAAAATATAATTTGTTAATTCATTAGTGTCGGGTTATAACTCTTACACTGATTTTTAGTACTAGGTCCTGAAATTGCACAATTTACTAGATTATTTTCATTGCATTCTCTTTAACACTTTATTCTTTTTGATATCACTGCATTTTAAACAGGGCAAATTATTAAGTTAGGACTCTTATTTTTAAAAATAATTTAGACAATATTACCAAATAGCCTACACATTAATGTCACCTTATTTGGAAAATTTCCTCTGACCACCCCACAAAAGGGTGCTATATCCTCTCACAACTCTCTCTTTCACCCTGCTTTATTTTGCTTCATACTATTACCATTTATCAGTCTCTATATTTATTTGTTTGGTTGTTTCAGTTTTCCTACTGTAGTGGAAGCTCCATGAGCCCTGAGAATTTCGCTGCTTCATTCACTGCTGTATTTCCAGAGCAGAGCAGGGTCTGACACCCAGTAAGTACTCAGGTAATGCCTAGCAAATGAATGATGCTTCTTACAAGTTACATGAGCACCAATTGGACAGCACATATTTAAAGACAACACATAGATAAGAATGCAATTTAAATATGATCAGATCACTGGGGTTTAAATGAACAAACACTTTTCTTCAGCAATCAGCAATATTCAGTGAGCTGATACTATACAGGTTTTAAAAGTACTGCAAACTACATTCTATAAGAAAACAAAAATAAATAGAGCTACCAAAAGATCTATGGGACCTGTAAAGAAAATTTAAAAGTCACAGATAACCACCCTCATTCTTGGTTTGCAAGTAGATGAAAATTCAAATTGCTACTGTATTCAACAAACAAAAATATATGAAAAGTATAAAAATGTATTTTAATGAATCATTTGAAACATCAGCCTTAAAATATTTACTCATGTTGTATCAGGGGCTAAGGCAGGTCAAAGTTAAATAACCCTGCTCCAGTTCTTCTGCAGTCCCCCATCTTGAGGGGAGATGTGAAAACAGATCACTATCTTACTCAGTGATGAGACCAGTAATAGCATATGCTGGTTTCCCCAAGAAGGGTACTCAATCTGGCCTGGGAAAGTCAGGAAAGACTTTTAGGAGACTGTAAGAGCTGAGCCAGGTGCAAGCAGATGAGCAGTTAGAGGCTGAGCAGAGGAGGTGGATATGGAGGCAATGGAGGCATTCAAGAGAGGCCAGCATGGTACAGGTTCAGAGACAAAAAGGGAGGCAGCATGGTTGGTAATCTACATGCACAGAGATGTCTGATGTATAAAGTACAAGACATCAAGTGATGAGAAGAACAAAGTGATTATTTAAGAAGCCAAATAATGATGCTTTACAGTAATAGCATGCAAAATTTCTTACCAAAAAGGTTTTCTGCAATACTAGTATATTCCATAGAGGATTATTCATTTGGTCGTGGAGCTCATTATTTGTGCAAATTGATCTACATTCTAATATTATTGGCCAGACAAAATATTACTGGTAATATTGCAACTAACCAATACATTTTACTTTCACTTTCTTCCATTTCTGCAATAGTACAGTCATAGTCACCATAGTCCATATTTCTTTCTCATGAAATGAACCATCTACTAAATTGCTGCTTGAGATTTGAAGCTAGTCCCAATTGTTAGTTTATTAAATGTAATAAGTTAGAATAATGCAGTGTTGAAATTATAGCCCACACCAACAGAAAAAGCTAGAGATTCCCAAATAGAATTATAAAAATCTTAACTTTTGTATTTTTTGACTTGTGGTTTTAATATTACCAATCTAATACACTAGCACTTCTCATAATGCATTTAAAATATATAAATAAAAATTTATGTAAATGAAGTCTTTTTGTGCATATATAAATTACTTAATCATTACCCAAGCAACTCTTCAAAAATAAAAATTAATAACAAGTCTACAGTGATTATTTCTATGAAGATGATTTCTAAACACTAAATTACCTCCAATCCAATGCTATAATTTGTTGATTTTTAAAAAGTATTGAATGATGTTTAGTAAAATGTTATGCAACTTACTGCAAATGGAAAGCATTTGAAAGATGTTTTCCATTGGAAGGGTTAATGCTTCTCAAGAGATTCATAGTAATAGATATGAATATTGAGAAGATAAAGGTCTCCTTAGGATAACCCCACCCACCTTAATTTTACAGTATGACAATTAAAATCTTGGCTGGGTGCGGTGGCTCACGTCGCTAATCCCAGCACTTTGGGAGGCTGAGGCAGGCAGATCACCTGAGGTCAGGAGTTCGAGACCAGCCTGACCAACGTGGAGAAACCCCGTCTCTACTAAAAATACAAAATTAGCTGGGTGTGGTGGCGCATGCCTGTAATTCCAGCTACTTGGGAGGCTGAGGCAGGAGAATAGCTTGAACCCAGGTGATAGAGGTTGCGATGAGCCGAGATTGCACCATTGCACTCCAGCCTGGGCAACAAGAGTGAAACTCCATCTCAAAAAAAAAAAAAAGAAAAAAGAAAAAAGAAAAATCTTTACTCCAGTACTGAAATAGGAACAAAATGTCTACACATATTTGCATATACATGTAAATACACACATACACATGCACGTACTATATACATACAAAAATGAGAGTTGTGGGTTGGCACAAAATTTTTATGTCTTTTCCTTGTGATTTTTCCAAACCCAAGTTTTGCTATGTTCAACAGAGTTTTAATTTATGTGTGTTTGATTACACACACACATACACAATCATGCAATACACATTAGCTTACATAAAGGTAACTTGCTTACATAAAGGGACTTCCATGGGAAATACAAAACATATTTTATTCTATTGATTTTTTTTGTACTTGAGGAAGTATTAGAATTGGTCTGACATTGAGGAAAGATTACATCTCAAGATGGTACTTTAATCTGCATGTAAGCGAAGATATTCAGTTAATTGAGAAAACAATTTTACAGAATTAATAGACCTCTGGTCAATATGGCCAAAACTATAAATACGGGAAGAAAAATAAAATAAAATAAAATAAAATAAATAAATGCATAGCCATTCTCAAAAGTAAGATAGGCAAATACTAAGTCCCCAGAAATGAAAGGGAAACTCAAATCTAGAGCAGTGAGCAGGAGCCCAGTGAGGAAACGTGAAGGCTGATTCACATCAAAAGAGGTTCAGAATGTGTGTCCTGCAGAGACGAACCTGAAAGCACAGCACACGGGTGCCTTCACAACCCAGGCCGCGAGGGCCTCCCACAGAAGGCAGATTCCAAGTCACACCCCAGGAGCTCAAGATAATAGATGAGTGTGAAAAAGAACCTCAAATGAGTGACTTAAAAATACAATCTAATAAAGATAGTAAGAGAAACCATAAAGTGAGAAAAATATAAGAGTAGGCAGATCTTTTTAAGAAACAAATATAAATTCCAGAATTGATATTCACTGAAAGTAAATTTGAAAAAATTTCAACAAATTATACAGTAGATTAAACTAGTAAATTATTAAGTTGGAAGACAGAGTTGAGGAAATCACCTACAACACACAGTGAATTAAAAAGTGAATGAAACACGGTGATTTAAAAAGATAGAAAATAAGAGAACGGAGATGCAGAGATGTGAAAGCTGGAATGAGAAAGCCCAGCTCGTATTTAATCATGACTCCAGAAGTCTTCAGACTTAAATCAGACTGAATCCCAAGCACGATAAACCTTTAAAATTCACAAATAGGTAAAAACATAATTTTTTTCAAAGTGTTTATTTCAAAGTACAGAGTAGAACACTGAAGTCAGTAATATCTTATTGATACTTGGGATTGCCACAATATGTAGATACATAGGTATGTGGATTGACTACCTAAAGGTCATTTTAAAGGTAAAATTTATTATTTCTTAATATGGCAATTAAAAAAACTGAAATACAAGAAAAACAAAAGTGTCAGCAAGCTGCACTCCCTGAAATAGATAACCATTTATGAACTGGCAAAAGTTTTATAGAGACTCTCAATTTGAAAAGTTTGTCTACAGAAATTATTTGAACCAGATCACTGAAGCAGCAAATGTTTAACACATACTGCATAAAGGATTAAGAATTATGATCTATGCAAGCGGAAGCAATCTGTCTTAAGACTTGATATATACTCTTTGAAAGGACTTTCGGTTTCTTCCTTGAATAGTGATCTATTCTAGTCAATAAGCTTCTTAAGACCAGAACTCATATTATGCAGGTTACAGAGCTCAGCACCATGTCTTTCCCATTATAAGTACTCAATTCCTTTATGAATAGACAAGTCACTGTAGCCTGTTAATGAGATCACATTACTTCTCTGCAAAGGAATATAGTCCATTAATGCACAAAAATGAATTGGACTCAGTGTTTTTAAATAGCATCTTGACACGAATCTCTGACACAGTATCTCCCAACATACCACAAAATTATCTATGAAGATACAGAAAAAGAGGAAAATGCAACGGCAAATCTGTATAATAACAAATGTGCAGGCAGAAAATAAAAGGAATTTCTACAGAAAATGAGATCAATGGAATTGGATTGGAAAACCACAATTCATAGTCAACTTATGTTTTGCAACCAGAGGCACCAATCCAAAGGTAGGTAGTCAGCTTTTTCATCTCTCCCACACTTTCTGATCCCCCTTCCTGGCCCGGTCAGAAACATAAGGTCTAGAATAAAAGGGTGATGGTGGGGGCGGGAGGGACTAGGCCACCAGCCTGCTACCTTGAAGTAGTTGCCTTTCAAGACAAAGCACTATCCACTTCCATTCACCCTTCCTACATCCATTCACAGTCAACTCAAGAAACAACAACAAATCTCTGTAGGGACAGAGATTTCTGGTACCACATTGCATTCTGTCCTAGAAAGCAGTGTGTCCCACAAGCAAAATGCTATAGGTAAAGGCAGGCAAAGACAGAGCTGGGTACCTGTGCCTTTTAGGGATTATAGGTGTTTGTGTACTCCAGCTATCTCAGTGTCAGAAGTTACAAAGTCCCCTTTTAGGCCAACAGAATAAGACCAGGTGAAACATGCTCATGCTAGACACTGGGTATTGGCCAGGTGCAGGGCAGTTTACCTAAGCACAGCTAAAATTTGAACTGGTGGCAGTAATGGATAGATCCATACCAACAAAAATAGAAAACATAAGAAAGCTCTGGCCAGGCGCGGTGGTTCAGGCCTGTAATCCCAGCACTTTGGGAGGCCTAGGCAGGCGGATCACGAGGTCAGGAGATCGAGACCATCTTGGCTAACACGGTGAAATCCCATCTCTACTAAAAAAATAGAAAAAATTAGCCGGGTGTGGTGGCGGGCGCCTGTAGTCCCAGCTACTCGGGAGGCTGAGGCAGGAGAATCGCTTGAACCCAGGAGGTGGAGCTTGCAGTGAGCCGAGATTGCACCACTGCACTCCAGCCTGGGCAACAGAGCAAGACTCTGTCTCAAAAAAAAAAAAAGAAGAGAAAAGAAAGCTCTGCCAGAAGTTAAAACAAGGATAAAGAGATAAAAATATTGAGGGAGATAATGATAGAAATAATAGAACAGAATATAAATGTATAATCTACATGTAATATTTGTTCTAAGAAAGAAAACAGAAAATTGGGACAGAGTAACAATAAGTAATATTACAAAAGAAAACTTTCCTCAGTTGAGAAAGTTTCAAGTAAGTAGACAATAAGCTTACTGTACTAATGGAAGAATACACAAAAGGAAAAGAAAAATACATGGAAGCAATTTTTAATTACACAAAAATAGTGCATTTACCAAGGCTGTTAAACAAAACAAACAAACAAACAATACATTGACATTAAAGGAATAAAATCAGGCTAGTCTTAATTTTTCAGCATATATACATAGCATCTTGACACAAATCTCTGACACAGTATCTCTCCACATACCACAAAATTATCTGTGAAGATACAGAAAAAGGAAAATGTAACATGCAACGGCAAATCAGTATAATAACAAATGTGCAGGCAGAAAATAAAGGGAATTTCTACAGAAAATGAGATCAATGGAATTGGATATACATAACATAATAACATATGTTATATGTTATACATATACATATATGTTATAATACATGTTATAATACATGTGTTATAATATACCTAACATAACATATGTCATTAATAGAATACAAAGATGTTATCTTCTAAAGAGATATGAAGGGAAGCAATTGTAATTTAAGAATGCTAATTTCAATTAAATTGTGTTTTATGTACATGAAAGTTGAAATTTTATATTTTCAAGATATTCAAGAATTCAGAAATATTCAAACCATATACCTGTTTTTTTTAAGTGCTTAAAACTATGAATGAACAGAGAGAGATCAATCTAAATAAGAACTCAAAATTTGAGAATTTATGGCTACAAAGGTTGATGGGTTTTCTTTTACTCAGATTAGAACCCAATCTTGGAAATTCTGTAGGAGTATTTGTTGTAAAGACAGTCTCTTAGAGTAGGGGCAGAGGTTGGCTTTAAAATGATTCTGTCAACTCTGTCCATTTCTATACTTTTCCCAATAGCAAGAAATGTGCTTCATACATAATGAACTTTGTGAAAATAGTAGTTACTCTGCTCTTCAAAAACATGGTAATGACATGCTCACAAAGGCAAGCCTGCTTACGTGGTTGGGCACCATACCATGAGAATTACTACAGGAAAAGCCATGTATGTGCATCCCTGCTAACATGGAGCTTTGCATAGAAACATGTTTGGGTATCTCCTTTCCAAAGGTCTTAGTAATGACCGCTGAAAACTTAAACCTGCACATTAAAAGATGATTGTCTTTTTCGTTGTCATTAAACTGGAAAAAACTATTAGAATTCCTGTGGCAGTATGTCCACTATCAATCTCCTGTCTTAATTAGGACCATGAATGTTCCTTTGAGTTCCTTAAAAATTATCATGTGAAACACAGTTTCGACAAAATAAAAAACATACATACATGTAGAAAAAAGACAACAAAAACTTCAATAGACTAAAAGTTGTTATCTGGGAGGATGATACTTTGACTACTCAAAGGAAAACATCAAACAAAGAATGATTTTCTTGTTGTTGTTTACAAGCATACTGCCAATCTGATTCCATTTGTCATCTGTCAAAGGACTTTTGATCTCAATAGTGCTTCAGTAAAGAGAAGAGACGTGTGACGAGTGATAAGACAGGAGCGAACTGTTCATTAAATTACTAATTGGAATACAACTGGAGATTATCCTTGGGTAGATACAGAAAATTCATCAAAGACCAATTTGTGTCTCCAAACAGAACATTCTGACAAGCAGTGACACATATTTTGTGTTTAAAAATTAGAGTATTGATACTTCTACAACGTCAACATTTACCACTGAGAGGGTGGGCAGTGACACATTTCTTCATGAGGTGCTAAGTGACAATATGGGTGGCAGCTTAGCTTTGGCACCCTTAACACTACCAAGACCTACTTTTCAACCCTGGTGGTCGTCTGACTTAAAAAGCAGGAGTGATTTGTTTTTCTTCTAGTTGTCAGTCTACTGAGATCTGAAACTTACAACATTTCTTGTTTCCCTTGGGTCCCTGGTAATGTGAATTGTCTTTAGCCAATGCCAAACAAATCACTGTCACAGAGCAGCAGTCGACCTTTCTTTTCAATCTATACACTTTCCAGGAGTTATAAATCAGTTGACTTTCAAGCTCGATGAGATGGCGTATGCCCTAGTTTGAAGAACAGATGGAGGCTTGGGGGAAAATTGTTTCTGCAGGCTTGCTACAAGCAGCTCTGCTACATAAAAGTGAACCATTTGCACTAATTTCTCACATAAATTATATAGGCAGCAGGGAGCACCAGCCCATTCAGCAGAAAATCTTTCATCTGGTTTTCAGAGGTCATCTAACCAATTTAAATAAAAGTTATTTCTAATACATGGCTGTATTTTCATGCTATACACTTTTAAGATGTAACAATTTACATCAAATAAAAGAATGGCATTAAGAATAGTACACTCATTGCCAGAGGATTTTTTTTTTCAAAACTTCTGGAATAAGCTCTGTCTATTAATTAATCACAAAGGAAATAATTGTGGGAACGTGGCAGATCTCTTGTACAAAAATCAGGTAAATTGTCACTTCTCTTGTAAAATTTGCCTTGCAAATTCTACTAAGTCCTATTATCCAAACTCAAGCTTTGGCAGTTATCAAAAGAAATAGAAACCCAGGACAATTCCAAGAGAACATTCATTCTCCTTGATGTGAAACAAATTATTCAGCTCAAATAAATTTGCCTACAAGATTTCAAAAGTCAATATCAGTTTTACCTTAGGGGCAACAGATATAGCATTATTTTTTTAAAATCCTTAAGAAATTGAAACATTAAGAAATTGAAGGTACCAAGGGACTAAATTATAACTCAAAATTACGGAATCTTGTGAATATTCTGATAGCAAATGGATCGAGTATCACATCACAGTGTGATTTACTTTAAAATGCAGTAATATTTACAGATAATGAGCTATCCTCAGTTGGGCTGATTTTAATTGTAAGAAAATGTGTGCATATTTTTATAATAATTATATGCAATAACTGTTTTTCCTACTAGGAAATTATCAGTTATGTCAATGAAAACAGTCACATTGACAGAGATTTTTATAGTTCCTGAATACCAATGCTGCTGAGAAATAAAAAGAACTAGAAAAAAAGGAGAAAATGCCAGAGAAGAAATACTGAATGGAATTGTCAGTCAACACATAATTAAAGGTGTTGTCTGAGACACCATCAGTGGAAATTATAAAGGCTGATTTATGCATCTAATTAATTTATTCACAGCATTTCCTTTACTTGGGTGTTCAAGTGCAACATATATTTTCAGTCCTTTAGAAAGGGAAGCGAATTTGTCATTTTGAAAGCAAACTTTAAGGGATGAGTAGTCATTGGAAAGCATTCGTGTATAACCTAAAGAGCATCCTCCTGGTAAAAGTTCAACCCCCTCAAGACCGTTGCATATCATTCTGGAACCTAAAGTGCTATGGATTCAAATTAAATGTGCTGCTGCTAATATTTCCATTTTGCTACCAGAAGAATTGATCTCTGTGGCAAATTTGTACTCAATATTTGTTCTTTGAAGTATTCCACCAACATATCAAAATACAATTATTTTAATAATTATGAAACAAAACTTATTTGAATGCTCATAATTTAAAAGGGCCATAGAAATCACCTGGTATATTGTTGTCACTTACAGATAAGGAAAGTGAGGCCTACGAAGCAAGAGAAATAAAACTTAAAAACAATCAGCTCCTGTATGCTTTACTTGCATTCAACAAATATCCCTGGGCACCTGCCCTGTGACAGTACTGTTCTAGGTACCAGGAAAGTGAGTGAATAAACCAGAAATACAGACAAAGATCTCGCCTTATAGGATTTCAGGATATGCCTGTTTTTACTAACATTGTTACTGGATCCATTTTGGGTCCCTATGGTTTTCATTTCTCTCATCTCTTATTTTTGCTGACTTTATAGTTTTTTTGTAAGACAATTTAAATCCGTTTTGAAATAATGTGGGGTATAAATATATAAATGACATATGTATGTCAACATTTATTTATAAAAAGTATTAAATGTGTATAGTTACCTGATTAATAAGTCATTTTTTAATACAAAACAAAGTCTGGAGATCTAAATTTTAATCAACAGGTAAAATTACTATATTAACCTAAGGGGAAATTTGCCTCCATGGTGAGATTTCATATTCTCTAATAGGGCAGTGAGGAAGATACATTTTTGGCAGTGAGTAGAGGCCACCTAAGTCCATTCTCACATATACCTGCTCATATGTATCAGTTCTGGTTTTATTCATTTCAATATAGGTGGCTATGGAATATCATTTACGTGTCAAAGAAGAAAAAACAAGAACGCAGAAAGGCCTCTGGCATGTCTGCTACTCTGGACAAGGACCATCATGACATTGCCGGGTGTGGGTTGATCGGGTGCTGTGCGGGCAGTGGGGAAGGATTTTGGACAAAATACAAGTCCATTTTGAGTTTCTCCCTTTCAAATTTGAGAGGTTTGTGATTTTGTTGCATGCATAAAAGGGTGGTATTCTATCCTGATTTTCCTAGAGGATTACAGGTTTATCTACGTCCTATTCAAATATCTCTGATACCTGGGACATTCTTACGCCTGGTTATTAGAAATTTAGTGGAAAACAAGACCGTCTTAGTGCATGTCATATTCTGTCACGTAGCACGTTATCATGGAGAAAGATGACCTGTATCAATATCTACTACATCAAAATGCCTAGAAAGTGAAAGATTTTAGAGACACCTTTATGTAGGTGTAGCTGTTTCCATCTTCAAAATAAATGAATGGTTTATAATATGATATAGTTATTTCTAAAAATTAACAGTGCCTCAGGTATTTATCTTCATCTCTTTCTCTCGAGGTCTCTATTGAAGAGACCGTTTCAAAACCACTTGTATGCTTCTCTTCGCTCTTTATTTACACAGCAGAGGTAGAGACAATGGGCCATGTATTTTACCAATTCATATAGCATTTCTTCCCTCCCCAGGTGCCCATATGGAAAACCTTTACAAAGAGCCCCGTCCCCACCCCGATCACCATCATTAGAAGTGTGCGATTTATATTACAGAAGGACAGAAAATTAAAGGATGGCAATTTAAGATGAGAAAACTCAAACACAATTTTTAAAATTCCATCGTTCATCTGATTATCTGCTTTGTAACTTATCCAGACAGCTTAGCTCTTTTCTCACTTGTTGCCAATAATGTGGATATTGAAGACAGCAAAAGAATCAACAGTCGTATTTCCCAAATGTTAGAGGGGTCAAGGAAAATGTAGCAAAAGAAACAGATTAACATTTTTTTTGTTTAAGTATTCCTTATGCTTTTTTATAACTACAACCATTGATAATCAAGAATTCTTTAGTGATATTTAGAAAATGCATATTTAAAAATTAAAAAAAAAGCTATTCCTGGGCTTGCCGGTAGATTTCATATTCGAGATGAGATTTATTCAACTTTCATAGCTCATGAACTTGCCATTGATAAGTATATAGAAATTTTCACTACAAACATTTTGCAAAACGTTTCTCACATTTACTAATAAATTTATGATATGCATAGAAAACCATGACAAAAAATCCACAGATGAGTCCCGTTTTTTCACTTTAATAATAAAAATTCTAACACAGTGATAGCCTTCTATCTATCTGGGTAGCAGATTCAGGCATTTATTTTTGACTGCCATTATCTTAATCTGTAGCTGCATGGTCTAATATGGTAACCACGTGGCTATTTAAATTAAAATTAATTAAAATTAAATAAAATTAAAAATTGAGTTCCTCAGTCTCCGTAGGCACATTTCAAGTGCTTAATCACCACATATGGCCAATTGTACCATATTAGACGGTGCAGATGTAGAACATTTCCACCACTGCAGACTGTTGGATCAGACACTGCTGCAATCTTCAGAGATGCCACAAGAAAGAGACGAAGCTGCAGAGACGATGACACGCAGCCTGCCACGTTGTTTTGGCATCTGGAACTAATGACCACTTCCATGTGCATGAAACTGGTACTGAGAGCAGGGCGTGGGCTGAGAAACCTAAGCATGCAAAGACATCTGTCTGTCTCTAACTCTTGCTTCTACTTTCTGATGTTACCATAGAGTGCCTTTGTTATTTCAAGAACACACAATGGTTCCTAACCTGGTGAAGATCAGGTCAGCTAATCCAGAACAAATAGAAGAGGAGTCTGAGGACCTGGGGAGGGATCCCCAGACCAGCACATTCACAGACTGGAATGACCGTGAGAGGCTGGGGCAGCCTGTGCCGGGGTTTACAGCCAGTGCATCCTAAGTCCTTCGGAGCCACAGGCTCTGGAAACACTGATAAAAGCAACAGACCTGCTTCTCACTTAGTTATGTGCATCATTTCAGGTGCTCACAAGTCCACTTGGAGTCTCTAGGGTGTCTGAGGAGAGTTGAGAGAGGGCCGGTATCCTCGGAGGGAAGCACTGCTCCTCAGCAGTCCTCAGTGAGGGATGAGCTATGACATTGAGACCAGAGGTTTGCATGACCAGAAACCGGTGCTCTGCCCACACACAAGAGAAGAGTGCAGGGTCTTGGCCTCTTGCTTTTAGTTTTTTGTGGGGGACGGATCGCCCTGCTTCCTTCAACACTCAAGAGTTCTTCCTTAAGAATGGCATCCTAAAACAAGTCCCTCCTCCTACTTAGCACCAGATTGTCCTTTCATCAAATGTGCCACGAAATAAATATGAAACTATGGACAGATGGTTCCCAAGCCTATGTTTAACAATCTTAATGTCTTGGCTGGGCGCGGTGGCTCACGCCTGTAATCCCAGCACTTTGGGAAGCTGAGACAGGCGGATCACGAGGTCAGGAGATCGAGACCATCCTGGCTAACACAGTGAAACCCCGTCTCTACTAAAAATACAAAAAATTAGCCGGGCGTGGTGGCGGGAGCCTGTAGTCCCAGCTACTCGGGAGGCTGAGGCAGGAGAATGGCGTGAACCCAGGAGGCGGAGGTTGCAGTGAGCCAAGATCGTGTCACTGCGCTCTAGCCTGGGGGACAGAGCGAGACTCCGTCTCAAAAAATAAATAAATAAAATAAAAAATAATCTTAATGTCTTATCTTCAGTGTTACAGTAATGCAATTAAAATGTAGTAGCTACTGTCTAAAAGAAGTCCACAGCTTCCGGAATAAGATGTTTTCCTAAATTTATGCTATTATACTACCAGTGACAGCAAAGAAATTGTTTCTTCTTTTTATTACTTTTTAGCTTGCTGAATCAGTACTATAATCAATAGTAGCTTAAGAGAATTAATATATCCATAAAAAAGAAAAGCATTTTATATCCCTGCTGACTGTTGGATTATCAAAGATAAAGAAAATGATTCATCTCATATTTTTATTAATAATTTATTTTCAAAATGATTTTTTCTAGTCTCTACACTTCTAAAGGTTGCTCATAAAATTATTTGAATCATAGTAAATCTATATAATTTATTTTCATTAATACAATTTATGTGTAGGTTATAATTACCTAAAACACCAAAAGCCACTCCCTTTTTATAAAGAATTATGACATATTATTTTACTCAACAGGAATCAGGTTTTGAAGAAACTCCATTGTATTATCTTGGAGCCAGTACATATCTATGAGCCAGTACATAGACAGGCAAACACAAAATCCATGCAACCAATCAAATATATGAATCCAAAAATCCAAACAAAACTTTGGAAATATATGCTTATATTAAGACTAAAGTATGAAAGTTAGTTATACACGCTATAAATTTTTTCTCATCATACGTACATTTTCACATAACAAGTTCACATTCTAACAGACACTATTATAAAGGAGATAATAATGTTACTCACCTCTTTCCCACCCCCCCAAAATTTTATAGTAAGGTTTCCTAATAAGGATACTACCAAGTTCCTCTTGTAATATAAGTTGGAATAATTCTAAGTTCAATAACTGATATTGGATGACTGCTCAAGAATTAGAAATGTTTGATAACAATATGAAAATATTTCAAAAGACATACTAGATATAATGCAATAATCCTTTCAATGTGTCTATACAGGAAGGAAAAATTTAATTTTAATGCACCTTTTTAAGCTATTTACTTTGATTTCTCTGATTTGTACTTTTATTTTTAACATAAATTTATTTGTTACTAATTAAAAACAATTCCTGATTTGCTTTTGGTCACGACTGCTGGACTTCCCAGTTAAATGTGTCAATTGCTTAATTTAACTAATAGTTGGCCAAAACCTTTTCTTGTCCTTAACCTGATGTGATACTCATAAGTGTGCACAACTGCTTTGCTGTCTGTAGGCAGAGAAGCCCTTTTAGTTGATAAATATCACCAAAAGCAAAGTCTTTGATAACAACAATAATTAAATAGCAGAAGCTGGTTAGAGACCAGCATTTATTTTTCTCAGATTAAATGTAAAAGCCTTCTCCGGTTAAGAGATTGGCAAGTTTTTACAAATAACATCAGTGAGCCTTTTACAAAGGAACACAACCACATTAGAATGGAGTCATTAGGCAATACATTTATTTTGAAGCCAATTAACCTTTTGTCAGAAAAATGTCCGTGCTGTAATGGCTTTGGCGGTGGAGGTCAGCCTCTAACAGGGCACGTGTGACAGCCATCGCGCTTGCTGACACAGGCGGGGACGGAGAGGAGAGCCAGGATTGGGATCGGCCTGCTTTTGTATTCTACTCTGCATTTCCAGGGAGCAGACAATCTTGACCTATCCATTTAGGTAATTAAAGCTTCCATTTGGAAGTGTCCTGCAGGAAGGTGAAATCTGGGGGAGATAAATGGCTGTTGCTCTCCGTATCCAGCCACCAGTTCCATCATTTGATGGACTGCCTGAAACAGGCCGGGCTGCCAGGTTCTCATAAAAATAGAGATGAATTGGGCAGCAGACAACTCTCTAAGGCAAAGCAACTCTGTCATTTTCTTCTTTGCAGGCTATAATTTAATTGTTAGTCAAGGTGGATGGCTGACACAGGGGGGCTTTCTCTAAGAGCTTTCCCACCATCTTCCATGTGCTGAGAAATGACTCCAGTTTATTTACTTAAGCAGCCAAGTGTGTTTGGCATTGGGAGATGTCACTTCAGCGGGTGCAGCTGGCCGGCACAGCTGTGCCCTGACTTACCTTCCAGGCGATTTTGTTTCCTTTCGAATCATGCTCAAGGGCAATTGGGAAGTCACCTCGCTCATAGAATTTTCGAAATGCTGTGGGCTTGGTTGGTCTTTCTTTAAATGCCCCTGCAGCTGGAGGGCCTCTCACCTTAATTGGAAAAAAAAAAATAGGGATCAGGTTTTAAGACATACTAAAAAAATTCATAATAAAAGAACTTTCTGTTTTTAAAGATTTCAGTTTGTATAAATATGTTGGAAGATAAAAACACATTATCAAATAAGGGACAACAGAAATCTGTTAATACAAACACCTGGGAAAGAAAATTATTTTATAATCACTATTAAAAGTCTACTTTATTTCAAGCTACTTTAGAAAGCATTCCTAGAAAATGTCTCTTAAAATATCACTTTAGAGGGAAGAGAAAACTGATATTATGTTTGTGAAAAACATTTTAATAGAGGTGTCTTACGCTTAGAATGTTAAAACTTTTACAATTTCAAATACTTATAAATTCTAATCTTGGGTCTGATATACTTTATGGAATACTGAAGTAATTTAAAACATTTCAATCTTTCTATATATATGGAAAATAGTGGAATATGTTCTCACATTATGAATATTAACAATAAAACTACTAAAATGATATAAAACTAATAATAAATTAGTGTAGAAAGAGAAAAAGGTGGCCTACTATGTGTGTGTACAGCATACATTTGGTAACATGAATTCACAAGAAAGTAACATTAGAATAGGTGAGAAATTAGAACTGATGAGAAACTTCCATCTCCAAAACTGAAATTTTCATTGAAGAAGAAATATTCCCTATAGAGTTATTTACAATGAATACATCTTTTAAATCTGTATTTACATTGGAACTAATTCATTAGATTACAAAATTGAAAGTAGTAAGTAAACTATTTAGAAAATAAATGTACTATTCTGTTCCTTACATATAGTCTAAACACGATTATTTTTCCCTGCTTACTGAAAAAAGGTAAATACTAGTCATTTTATATATTAGCTTAATAAATTCATTATTACTTTGCTAATACTAACTATAGACAAAATAATATAACCTAATATTTTTAGTTATTTTATATGTTAATTTGTAATATTTTTGTTAAAAACTCCAATTTTAATGAATATATTAACATATCTAAATAACATACAATAAATAAACATACAATACACATATTAGATATGAAAAATACATTGTATCTAATACATATATAAAAGGATTATATTTGAAATTAAGTGTGGTATTAAGAAATACCTTATTACAATGATTAAATGCTGAAGTGGAGTTGAAGAGTGAGGTAACACACATTTATTAGAGTTTAGAATTTACTCCACTACATAGCACATTACTCCCAGTATATGATTATATGAGTAATTGAGGCAGCATTGGGTATTACCAGTAGGAAGGAAGATTTCCTTTTACTTATTGAAGATTAGGAATTTGTTCTGGAATTAGAATTAATAGCCACCATTTTCAGTCAAATTCATTCAATTATCAAATAACCACATGTATTTAACAACTATTTTGTTCAGCTCTTTAAGCTGGAGGCTACATAAAAAGAACAGTTTTAGCTATATTACTATCATGGAAACTGTAGAACTGTGATTCCTGGACTTCTGAAATTCATGGAGGAGTAAATCTTGAATCACATTTTTTGGAAATGATAAATGATTGACAAATTTTTATGTTGCCAAAAAGTTATTTTTTTTTAGAAAAGGTAGATGGTAACATCTACCAATATGGCACCATTTTAACACCCTCAAAAAAGTGATATAATACAATCTAAAGAAAGAAAATTTGACCAAGTTAAATGAGCATAAATGTGTGAACAAATATTTATAGTAAATTATGTGCAATAGTGCCAGTGTATAGTGCAAATATGTATGTGCATGTGTGTGTGTATTGTTATTGTAGAACACTGATTACTGGTCAGCAAAAGCCTCATTTATTTTATTTTATTTTTCTTGTTTAACTTTTTGTTAAGATAATCATAGATCCATATGCAGTTGTAAGAAATAACACACAGAGAACACACATAGCCTTTAGTTGCTTTCCCGAATGGGAATATCCTACAAACTGTGATACTATATCACAATAGGTTATTGACATTGATACAGACAAGAACATTTCTACCACCACAAAGTTCCCTCAATTTGCCCTTATACAGCCACACTCTTTCTTCCCCTTAACCTTCGTCCCCTAGCAACAACTATGTCCTCTTCATTTCTATAATTTTGTTATTTCAAGAATCATACAACATGTAACCCTTTGGAATTGGCCTTTTTCACTCCACATAAATCTCTGTAGAATCATATAAGTTGTTGTGTGTACAGATTGAGTATCAAAATCTGAAAAGCTCCAAAATCTGAAACTTTTTGAGCGCTGACATGGTTGTTCACAGGAAATGCTTATTGGAGCTGAAAAAATCAAAAATCCAAAACACTTTGAATCCCAAGCATTTCAGATAAGGGGTTGTCAACCTATATCAACAGTTCATTGCTGTTTAATGGTGAATGGTATTCCATGGCATGGATACATCAGTTTGTCTACCCATCCACCTTTAAAGGTCATATGGATTACTTCCTGGGTTTGGCTATTATGAATAAAGTTGCAAAATTTTTTGTAGATGCTCTTTAACAAGTTGATGACCTTTCCCCCTCTATTCTTATTTTTCTGATAGTTTTTCATTATAACTAAATGTTCAATTTTTTCAATTTTTTTCTGCGTCAGTCAATATGCTTCTGTGATTTTTATTCTGTCACCTTTTGATATGGAGTTTTCTATTACAAATGTAATAGCCTTTAAAGTTATAGAGCTACTCAAAGAATCTGCTTCCTATTGGATGACTTGCAGTAACATGTATTTTCTGAGGAATTGGCCCGTTTTATTTAAGTAGTTAAACTTACAAGTGTAGAATTGCTTGTGTTTTTTCTGTATTATCCTTCTGATGTCTGGAGGGTCTCTCAAGATATCCATTCTTCATTTCTGATATTTGGTAATTTGTGTCTTCGGTTTCTCCTTTGTCTGTCTTACTAGAAGTTGGCCAATTTTATTGATTTCTTCTGCATTTCCAAAACTACATTTTAACTGGATGTAGGATTTAAGGTTCATGGTTCTATCTTTTAGCACTTGAAAAATAGTGTGCCACTTCCATCTACCCTTCAAGGCTTTGGATGATAAATCCACTCTCATTCACATTGCTTTCCCTTATTTATAAGGTGCCACTTTTTTTTAGTTATGCCACGATTTTTCTCTGTCTTTAATTTTCAGAAGTTTAATTACGATGTGCCTTTGCATGCATTTCTTTGCTTTTTATCCTGTTTGAAGTTTGTTCAACTTTGTGAATCTGTAGGTTCATGTCTCTTGCCAAATTTAGAAAGTTTTCAGTCATTATTTCTTTGAGTACTTCTTTGGCCTGGCTTCTTTTTCCTTTCCTTGTAGACTCCAATGACATTAATGTTAGATCTTTTGTTACAGTGCCACAGATCCCTGAAACTTTTTCTTTTTCCAGCCTGTTTTCTCTGTCGTTCATATTGGGTAACTTCTACTGCTCTATCTTCAAGTTTGTGGATTCTTCCTTCTGCCTACTGCATTCTGCTGTTGAGCCCAAATATGCTTTTATTTAATTTGAGTTGTATTTTCAGTTCTACAATTTCTATTTGGTTCATCTTTATATCGTCTATTTCTTTTCTGAGACTTTCCACTCTTTCATTGTCTCAAGGGTGTCATAATATTCATAAAAGCATTTTTGGAAGTAACTAATTTAAAATTCTTCCCTAGACATTTCTAACATTTCTGTTATCTTGTTGTTGGCACCTGTTGATTATATTTTTACATTCACTCTGAGATCTTCCTGATTCTTGGTGTCATTACTGATTTTCTTGTGAAACCAGTATGTTTGATACATTATATTATGAGATCTTAAAGCTTCCGTTTTAGCTTGCTTATTCTGACATTTCTCTGGCAAAGGTTGGGGGAAGGGTGCTACCTTATTACTGCCAAGTTGGGGTAGAGGTCTCATTACTCTACTTGGCGTCTGCTGACCCCAGAGGAGAGAATGCTTCATTAATACTGGGTGACCCCAGAGGAGGGAGTGCCTTATTAATACTGGGTGGGGATGGAGATTCCAGAACCCACTAGGCCTCCACTGATGCCCTCCTGGCTGGAAGGGGCAGGAGTGACTCATTACTGCTCCCCCATTGTCCACACTGACATCATAAACAGTGTGGCCTCATTACCCTGGGCAGTGGTGAAATTCCTGACTCTCTAGGCAGTCCTCTGACTTAACTCCAATGGGAAGGAGACAACTCTTTCGTCACTAAGTGGGGAACAAGCCCAAGCTCCTCGTGAGGTCTCCACTGGCACTGCAGATGTTGGGGCCTCTTTACTATTCTAGTGAAGAGGAAAGTCCCAAAGCCCCATTTAAGAAACTCAACTACAACCATTATTTAGATATTTTGTTTGCTAATCATCCACTAACCACCCTTTCTGAGTTTTTCTAGAAGTCACATAGTTATTTTTACTGTTGATAATAAGCCTCCCACTTACTGAGTTGGTCTAAAATTTGTTGAGATCATCCATCTTTCCCCCTTTTGTCTTTGCACTTCTCAAAAAATCAATTTCTCTTTTCTTTTTGTCTCTTATACTGAATATACTCCAATCTTTCTGATTCTCAGCTCAAAATTCTTAATGTTCAAACTTTTGACTGAATAGACACATTTCTAACAAAGCTTAGAAGGCTATTCATAAATCGATATAGATAACTTATACTTCTTCCTTTCAATAAATTTTCATGTACCCTACAGAAATGATTCCATGCCTGCACTTCCATGGAAAGCCTTTATTTAGAAGAGAACTTTACAAAATAATCCATGGTGATATGTAATCACTTGACAGTGAGAAATTCTCTTCTTAAGTCTCTGGTATCCTCTGTCTTTATATTTCTGCTATTTACTTATTTTTAAACACTTTATACTTTTTGGGATCTGCTATAGATCCATTCTAAACTAACTCTTGGCATCTCAAAAGCCGGAACTTGTAACAGAAGCAAGAATGTTCTCAATTAGCTGTCTCGGTGCATCAGTGGCACTGAATTTTATGCAGATGCTTTGTCACTACTGCTGAAATAATATTTTTTTCTGTTCCAGGTACATATGACATGTGTAACCACCTAAGCTTTATAGAAGGACATACCATTTTTATATTCTATACATAATTTATTCCATATAATCCTAAACATCTGTACATAAAAAAAATCAAGCGAAATATAATTAATTCTGGGATGGTAATAAAGAACTTATTATTGGAAACCATGCAGATGGTTGTAGCTTGTCTAAACAACTTTTAAAACAAGCAAAACGACTCTGAAAATCCTTAGGTAAGTTCCATATTTGTAGAAGAGAAAATATTATAAATTTTATTTCATGTTTTAAGAATTTTACCTCAATTTATTATAAATAATATAAAGCAAACAAGAGACCATAAATCAAACGAGATTTGTGGGAAAATGCAATTAGGGTTTGCCTGAATGGTAGGGGCAATCTGTAAACCAATTGGGAAGAATGGATGTTACAGCAGAATGCTTTTAATAAAATCCAATGCACTTGGGAACCAAGATATTGAATGCAGTTTGAAATAACTACAGATGACAGAATACTTTATATGCCTACATTTACGGAATGTGGCATAATGGATTTAGGACTTAGATCACAGTGTCCATCATATGGTCACAAAACTAATAATAATAAGGAAGGAATGTAAGGCTCTTGAAGTCTTCATCATATAGTTTGAAAATTTCCTTTTCACTATTTTTATTATTTAGCATAAACTGAAGCTGTTTAAAAAAGACTTTTATATCAAGCAGGAAATTTGCATTGTGTTATTCTAATTGGCCCATTTAGCCAACCCACTAGAACACTGAAACAATAGGATGCAAAGATATTGATTACTTGTTTTCATCAGGTTCAATCTGAAATTCTGATTCATGAAAACGCCATTGTTATAAACGGGTGGGCAAGACCTGTTGACTTGAGTTCTGTCAGGACTGGACTGTTAGTCTCAGGAATGGTAAATCGGTTACCTTCAGCGTAGGCTCCTGAGTGAGAAGTTCTGTAATTCAGTATCTGCCTCATTTGCCAACTGTAATTGCTTCACTACATCAGAAATTTTACAATACTCAAGGTCACCAAATGACCAGGACAATGCTTACAAAATTATTACAATAAGAAAATTGTATTGTAATAGAAGATAGGTGTCTCAATGATAGCAAAAATGAGCTCATAATACCAAGTAAAATGATTATAATAAGTTATAACAATATAACAATTTAAGAATTTAACAATATATTATGATCATGATAGTCAGAAAAGATATGAGTCTTATTTGTTACGGATACGTAGAGACATTCATTTTATTGCACTTTGGTTTATTGTGCTTCACAGATATTGTGTTTATTTAGTAAATTGAAGGTCTGTGGCAACCTAGCATTGTGTAAGACTATCAGTGCCATTTTTCCAACAGCATCGGCTCACTTCATGTCTCTGCATCATGTTTTGGTAATCCTGGTACTATTTCAATTTTTCATCATTATTATATCTGTTATGGTGACCTGTGATCAGTAATCTTCAATGTTACTATTGTGATTTTGGGGGAGTACCACAAACAACTCTCATATAAGGCAACAAATTTAATCCATAAATGTTTGTGTTCTAACTGCTCCACCAATTGGCCATTCCCCTATCTCTCTCCCTTCCTCAGGCCTCCCTATTTCCCGAGACAGAACAATATTGAAATGAGTCCAATTAATAACTCTACATGGCTCCTAAGTGTTCGAATGAAGGGAAGAGTCACACATCTCTTCCTCTGAATCAAAAGCTAGAAATAATTAAGCTCAGTGAAGAAGGCATATTGGACACCAGGACAGGCTGGAAGACCTCTTGTACCAAATAGTTAGCCAAGTTGTGAATGCAAAGGAAAAGTTCTTGAAGGAAATAAAAAGTGCTATCCCAGTGAACACATGAATAATGAGAAAGTGAAACAGGCTTATTGCTGATACGGAAAAAGTTTGAGTGGTCTGGATAGAAGATCAAACCAGCCACAACATTCTCTCAAGCCAAAGCCTAATCCAGAGGAAGGCCCTAACTGTCTTCAATTCTGTGAAGGCTGAGAGAGGTGAGGAAGCTTCAGAAGAAAAGTGTGAAGCTAGTAGAGGTTGATTTGTGAGATGTATGGAAAGAAACCATCTCCATAAATTAAAGTGCAAGGTGAGGCAGCAAGTGCTGATGGAGAAGCTGCAGCAAATTTTCCAGAAGATCTACCTAAGATAAATGATGAAAGTGGCTACAGTAAACAACAGATTTTTAATGTAGAATAAACAGCCTTCTATTGGAAGAGGACACTGGGCTGCTAAAGCTACTGAGGATAATTCAATGCTTGGCTTTGAAGTTTCAAAAGACAGGCTGACTCTCTTGTTAGGGGCTAACGCAGCTGGTGACTCTAAGTTGAAGCCAGTGGTCACTGAGCACTTAAAAAGTTCTAGAGCCCTTAATAATGAGGCAAAATCTATGCTTCCTGTACTCTGTAAATGGAACAACAAAGCCTGGATGACAACACATCTGTATATAGCATGGTTTATTGAATATTTTCAGCCCACTGTTGAGATCTACTGCTCAGAAAAAAAGATTTCTTTCAAAGTATTCTCCTCATTGACAAAGCTCTTGGTATCCCTAGAGCTCTGATGGAGATGTACAAGGAGATGAATGTTGTTTTCATCCCTGCTTACACAACACCCATTCTGCAGCCCATGCATCAAGGGGTAATTTTGACTTTCAGCTTTTTTTTTTTTTTTACTTAAGAAATACATTTTAGGCCAGGTGTGGTGGCTCACACCTGTAATCCCAGCACTTTGGAAGCCTGAGGTGGGGGTGGATCACCTGAGGTCAGGAGTTCAAGACCAGCCTGACCAACATGGTGAAACCCTGGCTCTACTAAAAATACAAAATTAGCTGGGCGTGGTGGTGCATGCCTGTGATCCCAGATACTTGGGAGACTGAGGCAGGAGAATCGCTTGAACCCGGGAGGCAGAGGTTGCAGTAAGCTGAGATTGTGCTATTGCACTCCAGCCTGGGCAACAAGAGTGAAACTCGATCTAAAAAAAAAAAAAGGAAAGAAAGAAATACATTTTTGTAAGGCTCTAGCTGCCATAGATGGTGATTCCTCTGATGTATCTGGGCAATGTAAATTTAAATATTCTGCAAAAGATTCAGGATTTACCATTCTAAATGCCATTAAGAACCTTTCTGATTCATAGGAAGAGGTCAAAATATCAACATTAAAAGGAAGGATGATTCCAATCCTCATGAATAACTTTGAAGGGTTCAAGACTGCAGTGGAGTAACTGGAGATGTAGCAGAAATAGCAAAAAGTCTAGAATTAGAAGTGAAGATGTGACCAAATTGCTGCAACCTCATAAAAAACTTTAATGAGGAGCTGCTTCTTATGGATGAGCAAAGAAAGTAGTTTCTTGAGGCAGAATCTACTCCTGGTGAAGATACTTTGAACATTATCAAAATGATAAAAAAGGACAATGACAGCAAACATAAACTTAATTGATAAAGCATGGGCACAATTTGAGAAGATTGACTCCAATTTTGAAAGAAGTTTTACTGTGCATCAAATGGTATTAAACAGCATCACATGCTACAGAGAAATCTTTCATGAAAAGAAAAATCAATCAATGCAGCAAATTTCATTGTTGTCTTATTTTAAGAAATCATCACAGCCACACCAGCTTTCAGCAACCACCACACTGATCAGTCAGCAGCCATCAGCCTCAAAGCAAGACCCTCCACCAGCAAAAAGACTAAGACTCACTGAAGGCTCAGATGATTGTTAGCATATTTTAGCAGTATTTTTAATTATGGTAGGCTCATTGTTTTTAGACATAATGCTATTGTACCTTATTAGACTATAATATAGTATAAATATAATTTATATGCACTGGGAAACAAAAAAACCACGTGACTCTCTGAACTGAGATATTTGCTTCATTGCAGTGGTCTGAAACTGAATCTGTGATATCTCCAAGGTCGCCCTTTATATATAGTCATGTGTTGCAGAACAATGTTTCAGTAAACAACGGACCACATATACCATTGTAGTCCCAGAAGATTATAACACCATATTTTTACCATACCTTTTCTATCTTTAGATATGTTTAAGATACACAAGTACTTACCATCTTCTTACATTTACCTACAGCATTCAATACAGTAACATCTTGTACAGGTCTGAAGCCCAGGAGCAATAGGCTACAACACATAGTCTAGGTGTGTAGTAGGCAATACCATCTAAGTTTGTGTAAGTACACTGTATGATGTTCATGCAATGATGAAATTGCCTAACAACGCATGAATGGATCCCCACATTTAAGGAATACATGACTGTATTTCAATAAATATTCAATATATTGGTAAGCATCCTATAGAGTCTTTAAAAATAAGGCACTATAGGCAACAATGGCTGGCAGGGAAAACTTCAAGTGATTTGAGCCATCAACTTCCCGAAGGGTTTTCAGTCAAGGTCTAACAGAATGGCCTGAGGTCAGGAGAATATAGAGTCAAGGTGAATGGTCTGCATTTCAATGCAGTGGTCCAAGCATGGGATGGCAAAAGCCTTAAATTAAGGTGGCATCAAGAATAAGAACAAAACCCCTCATACTGTGTTCATTGCTTTATGAACATTACTGGTATCAATTTGCAACAAAACCGTATGAAAATTATTTCACAGACAAGGAAATTGAAGAGAGAAAATAACCGGCTGGAAATCACCATGTCAGCACACAGTCAGAAAAAGACTTTAACCCCCAATCTCTTTGTCTCTACAGGACATGTCCCTCAGTCACTGTCCTAGATTATTAAATTCAAGCAAAAATCTAAAGGATTATTCGGGGCACCTGACCGATTGGATGAGGAGAGCTACAGGCAGAGATGGAATTTAGATTTCAAGACTACAAAGTTACAAATTGTCTATTTGTTTAAATCATATAAATAATAAGAAACTGTAGAAAGCTTGCAAGAAAATCTTATTAAATCACTTGTAATCCTACCACCTATTAATAACTTTGTGCTTTTCCCTTTAAACTTTTCAAAAACATAGCACTGCAGATACCATATTTTTACATTTTTATGTCCTTTCCATTTAGTGTACTTTTAAACTTAGTTTAATATGTTTCGATGTTGCCATTTCTATCAAAATTTTGTATTTAATAGCTAAGTAATATTCCACCTACTATTTGCCATTATATTTGGAATTTATATTATTTCAATTTTTTGCCTATTGTAATTACATTGTATAAATATTCCAGGCATATGATGTTTTATATTATTTCCTTCAGACAGAGTCTCCAAAGTGAGATAATGAGGTAAATTTTTTGTATATTTTATGATCTTGATAATATTATTTTCTAATTAAAAAATAGATGAGTCTTCCTGTTCAATTTAGATTACTACATTTAACAAAGGAGGATGAGCATTTTCTCATTTTGTATAAATACAATATGCATGCATTGTGAATGCGTGTTCATGTCTTTTCCTCATTAATGTTAATTTGTATGAGATCTTTATACTGGAATATATTAAATACTGGTTGTATTGACTGAAAATATCTTATCATCTTTGTTTCCCATTTTATTTATTTAGCATTTAAAAGTTTTAAATTTTGTGTAAGAAAGTCTCTGTCTTTTCTTTATTTGCTCTTTTTGCCTCCAGCTTTGCTTTTTCTAGTTGATTCCTCTGTGTGCTGCACAATGAATATTCTAATAGACTAATTAAATCATATCTCTCATCTACTTAAAATCCATCAATGATTTCCCATTGACACACTACACAAAGACATTTGCAAGCTGACTGTCAGTCTCTCAGGTTGTTCCTGCACAGGCCCTTCAAGCATTAGTCACACCAAAATGCTGGCAGTCTCAAATATATCCTGCTCCTCCTTGGTCTCCATGATTTTCCATCAGCCTGTAATTCTCCCTCGTGCCCTCACTCTTTTCTTTTCTCCTTCCTTTTCTCCTGAATAACCATTAATCACCTTCAAGACTCAGCACAAACCTTTCCTAACAAACCACATCCCTACTGTGAAGTGGGGTTTGATCCTTCTTCACATTAAGCTTGCAATACCTGTGGGGTAAACAACTTGGGGGGTCACTGAACAACTGGACATCTGAAGAGTCCTTATTAGAGAGGTCTAAGCTGTTGGTTATGTTTGGCTGTGACCAAGTGGTAGGTTCAATCTATGGAAACGGGCAACTTTTCCCAAAGAGAGAGTGTATAGTGAGAAAAAGGCTGAGGCCCCAAGACAGTACCTGAATATTTAACAACAAGAGGATTCTATAGGAGAATAGAAAGAATAGTCAGAATAGTAGCAAGAAAATGGAAAAGGGATGATACCATAAAATTCAACAAGTGAGAGAGACCATTTTTTTTGTTTTTGTTTTTTAATAATAAAGGGAGATCATTAAGAGGAGGACTGAAAGTATCCATCTGAAAATCTAAAAGCAGTAGTGACATGATGAGGTGGAAGCCAGACTGTAGTGCACTGAGGAATGGGTGAGAAATATGAAGAAGGATCTGTATTCTATAGGAGCCTTTCTACCCTGTGGGATGTCAAGATCTGAGATGTTAGCAAGGTGTGATTGCTGAAGGAGGTCAAAACCAATGGTAACTGGAAATAGGAAAAGAGAGGTAAATTAATGGACTATTACACTGGAATTCATAAATTATATAACCACTTATGGAACCGCAGTGGATTTTAGAAAACAAGCTATATGTATAACCAATGCACTTACATAAAATGGCCAGAGAAACATGTAAAGTGCAGAGTAAGTTTTTCAATGTTAGGAGCTCATAAATATGAATTTGGGGATCTATGGTCACATAAACTAAATTATTTACTAGAAACAGAGTTAAGAAAATAGCTCTAAATTAGACTTTTACCTATATCATTTATTCATTAAAAATATATTGACTACTTAATTTTCACAAGTTACTAGGTTTAGTACGAGCGGGGAAAAATACAACTCAAATACATTAGCTCCAAGATATATATTATTAGGAGAAGAGATAAAAATACCACCCACAATCTGCACTTGAAATAAGAATATGAGAAATGTCACAAAAAATATATAGAATTCTGCAAACTCAGAAGATAAACCTCTTCGATCTGAAGGCATTGTTCCTTTTCATTAGAAAATGTTACTTAGCCTTTACAGAGTACCTACAGGTTTCAGTGGATCCAGACAAAAACGTATTATAATTTCCTATGAACCTGAATTCTGTACAATTTTAATTAGAAATAATTATTAGAAAATTATGTTTGCTATTCCCTGTATTTGTCCATTTACAACTTTTGTAGTTAACAGTTAAATCAGAATTAATTTGTCTGAATTTTCTATAAATTTTATAAATTTAAGTAGTTATTAATTATTACTACAATCTTATAACCAAAAATTCACTATTGATGAGATCAATACACTTTCTAGGTGAAATCTCTTGCAATAAAATTCATATTTCCTGTTTTGAAATTCATTTGTCCAAATGAAAAATCTGGTTGAAAATCTAAGGTTTCTGTTAGACTTAAAGGAAATAATCTAAATTAGTCTAAAGTACTTGCAGAGACTAGTTTAAATATGATGAACATAAATAAAAACCAAAATTAACATGTGCATATTATAATAAATTACATTTAAATTACCATTGCCTTTTGATGATCACAGAAAAACAAATAACTTATGATGCATTTTTTTTTCTAATCGGTGCTATGAGAAAGATGCAATGCTATCAGTATAAGATAGTAATATGTAGAAAATTAGCCAGGCATGGTGGCTTACGCCTATAATCCCAGCATTTTGGGAGGCCAAGGGGGGCGGATCACCTGAGGTCAGGAGTTTGAGACCAGCCTGGCCAACATGGTGAAACCCCATGTCTACTAAAAATACAAAAATTAGCCGGGCATGGTGGTACACACATGTAATCCCAGCTACTCGGGAGGCTGAGGCAGGAGAATTGCTTGAACTCAGGAAGTGGAGTTGCAGTGAGGCAAGATATCCCCCAGCCTGGGCAACAGAGCGAGACTCTGCCTCAAAAAAAAAGAAAATTGACAAATATTTCAGCTAAAAGATTTAGCACAGTTTGGTACTACAGCTGGTTTTTCAGCTTGACCACACATTGTAAGCGGCCTTGTTTCCAGAAAGATTTAAG
This sequence comes from Homo sapiens, assembly GCF_000001405.40. Lineage (NCBI taxonomy): Eukaryota > Metazoa > Chordata > Mammalia > Primates > Hominidae > Homo > Homo sapiens. The sequence continues at coordinate 162,801,018 of NC_000006.12, read as the reverse complement.
GAGGTCCACGAAGACGCAGGCAGTTCAGAAGACGGCTCAGCGCACGTGGAGGAACTGCCAGGTGTGGGGATTGGACCCTTGCAGCCTCAGCCTCCTGTAAAATGTTCCTGGCTGACCTCTACGATTCCTTCTACACCTTTCTAACTTAACATGTTGAGTGAGCATCCTACGGAGTCTTTAAAAATAAGGCACTACAGGCAACAAGGGCTGGCAGGGAAAACTTCAATGTATTAATTCAACACATACTGAGGACATACAATATTATCAGAGCATTCACACACTTTTGGAGCTAAGAGGAACTGCAAAGAACACATCAACTCCTTGTTTTCCTCTTGGTGAACTGAAATTCAAACAGGCTATGGAAACATATCCCAGTCGACATTTCAAAGCATATTTTCTTCAGCTCTATTACTTAACATCTATCTCCATTTCATAGATACCAGATTCTTTCAGGTCCACTTGATTTTAAAAATGCTTCTGTAATAACTGTATGACATAAGGAGGTCCCAAAGATTGCTAAGTAAATTGTGAGTATGTCATTCAAAATTTATAGATAAACTGTGGCACATTTGGAAGCAATATTTCATTTCAAAAATGTCTCTATAGTCTACAATTGTCCTGAAAGCAATGGTTAAACAACAAAATTTGTTTTAAATTATTTTTGTTTAAAATAATAGGCAGCAGTGATCTTTAAAATTCTCCATTGTAGGAGAAAAAGAAAAGGTTAATAGCCTTTCTTAACAAAATGAGATGCAACAATCAAATGATTAAAAAAATTCTTGACAGTTAAAGGCTAAAAAGTTTACTTAAAAGCTGCCTTCTTCTTGCAGTTAAATATAGAAAAAGGCCACATATTTAAGTGCCCAAGTGCAGTTCTTGCCTTCAACTTGTCTCCGAGAGTCATCAGAGACTTCAATTTAGACTATGCTATTTAGCATCTGTCTTGTAGAACTGATAAAAGGCCTGAATGACTGAGACAGCTTAGCTAATACACTGTCACACCTAACTCTAAGGCCAAAGGAATGAGTGAGCCAAATGTGAAAGGAGAATATAAATGGGCAAGAGTGTAAAATATATTCTACTCTCCTAATACCTTTAATGTTGAAAGGTGGTAAACAGTTTATATCTAAACATATATCTTCTGTGTCTTGCAAGAGTTATTTCTTACTGAATAATTAGAGTAAAAAATGTTATTTTTGTATCTATTAAGAGACTATTACCATTCACATCTTACATATCATGAATATTTTAATAGAAAATTTGAAAATCCTTGTGTCTAATGATGCAAACTGAAATTCTCCAGAAGAAAAAACTATAGCTATTTAATAGAAAACAATTCTTAGAACTGTCTACAATAAAAGATATTTATAGTAGTAAGAAAAAAAAAAGGGTCCCACTTTCCCATCATCGCACTGGCTCCCTCTAAAATAAAATACTTAGGAAGTTAACACAATTTACAGAGCTATGAAATACTCTGATTATGATTTAGAAACTCCAATAATAAAGAAAGCAAGAAATGTACGAAATATATATCACACACATAAAGCACACTTACTACAACTTAACTGGAAGATAATTTAATAAGAAACACTAGATTGGAGTCCTATCAACCTAGGTTTTTTCCACCACAGTTTCCACCACAGTCTATTCGACCATGAAAGAAATATTAAGAATATAAAAGGAGAAAAGATGAACATGTACCTAAACAGCATGTTGTCTGCCCTAAATAAAGATAGTAATGCATCTTTCACTATTCAGATGCAAAGTATTTTTATTTTCATTTACATTTTATTATTTTTTAGTAAATATGCATTTTTTTCCCTGAGCCAAAATCTTCATTTGTGAAAGCTGGCTGAAGTTTGGTCAGCTTGTTTCCAAAATAAAGCCAACTAATCCACATGCAGATTGAACTCCTGACCACTCTCCATCAACAAGTCTGACTTGGCCATTTATCTACCCAGTAACAGCCAGACACTCGCAATTCACCAATCCAGAAGCTTTGTTAATAGCTTTCTTTACATTCAGAAGTTATTCTTTTTTGCATAGCGTTATTTACTTTGATGCATGCATACGATTACATGATTTGAATAGAATTGGTAAGCAGAATTTGAAATATGTTAGATACTAAAATTTTATATAGGCATTCCATATACTTGTATAAGTAATTCACACAACACACACACACAATCTGACTCAGTGAGGGGTTTCCTAATACATCTTTCCTTTGAAATATGTTACTGTATTTTTGATTTTTAAATATACGATGACATATGAGTAACCACAGACAAGAAGCTTTCACTTTCAAAAGGAAATAGAGGAGGTGTTGAGCAAATGCCCCACTTCACAGCCTCCTTTAGTGCCTTGGTACCTAACAAGTACTAAATCTCAAAAGTTAATATAATTTCTAGTGTGAACATTTCTCCTTTCTTCTTCTTATTTTGGAAATCATATGAATGAAATAAGATGAATAAAAATAAAAAGGAACCATAAGCCTCACTTGCTGTAAAATTAGGAGAAAAACTGACCACCAAAAGCAGCTAACATAAGGCACAAGCTATGTGGGAGGAAGGAGAGAGAGGAAATATGGTGAGTGATGGAGATCATTGAGGGATTCTAGAAAACACCAGAAAAAAATGTATTTCTGGTGAGGGAGAACTCATGAGGGACAACATTTGTTTCTTGTTTGCAAAAATGAGTATAAATAAGGCTCCCAGTAAAAGTCCCTTCACATCCATTTGTGGATCAAAGAGGCAGAAGAGGGACCCACAAACACAAATAAATACATAAACAAATGACACTTGCAACCATCATTCTTTCCGACAGAATAGAGAGGGAAAAGGTTGGATCAAGAAGCCTAGACCCAGAAGCCCACTTTAAATAAGCATTTAGGAAAAATCAATTCAATTCAGCAGTAAGTATTAAAGTGGGACCTAGCACAATATCAAAGTTACTATAA